>NC_000015.10:90077641-90229156 GCF_000001405.40 Homo sapiens
TGGGTCAAGTGACCTTGTTTTATAAAGTCCGGAAGACTCACAGTGGGTTAGATGCTACAGGCACAAGTAACAGATACCCATTCAGACTGGCCTAAACAATAAGGAAATCCATTAAGAAATGGCTCAAGACCAGGTGTGGTAGCGCACACCTATCGTCCCAGCTACTCGGGAGGTTGAGTTGGGAGGATCACTTTGAGTTTGAGGCTGCAGTGAGCCATGATTGCACCACTGCACCCCAGCCTTGGCAATAGAGCAAGACCTTGTCAAAAAAAGAAAAGAAATGGGGCCAGGCGCAGTGGCTCACGCCTGTAATCCCAGCACTTTGAGAGGCCGAGGCAGGCGGATCACCTGAGATTGGGAGTTCAAGACCAGCCTGACCAACATGGAGAAACCCCGTCTCTACTAAAAATACAAAAAAAATTAGCCGGGTATGGTGGCGCATGCCTGTAATCTCAGCTACTTGGGAGGCTGAGGCAGGAGAATCGCTTGACCCCAGGAGGTGGAGGTTGTGATGAGCCAAGATTGCACCATTGCACTCCAGCCTGGGCAACAAGAGCGAAACTCGGTCTCAAAAAAAAAAAAAAAAAGAAGAGAAAAGAAATGGTTCAAAGTCTAGGCCCTCTTCAGAGCTGGCTGATTCAGCTTGCCAACAGTGACATCAGGGTGAGGCTTCCTCTGTCCACAGCATTAGCTGCGAATATCCTCATGGTCACAAGATGGCTGCCAGTGGCCGTCAGGGTGTGTGCTTCCTTGTTCACATCCAGTGGAAGAGTGACAGCCTGCTCCCCTTAGCTCTCTGACACCAATGAGAAGGTGCTAAGAACTTACTAGCAGGCCTTTCCTCATGACCCATTCAACAGGATTGGGTCACGTGCCTATTCCTGAACCACTAATTGGGAAGGGATGGGATTACTCTTAGACCAGTGGTTCTCAACTGAGCATGAGTTTGTCTTCCAGGTGACAGTTGGCCATGTTTGGAGACATTTATGGTTGTCACAACTGGGGTGATGCTACTGGCATCTCATGGGTAGAGGCCAGGGATGCTGTCAAACATCCTACAATGCACAGGACAGCCTCACAACAAAGAATTATGGCCCTAAGTGCCAAGGTTGAGAAAGTCTGCCTTAGACCTGTCAGGGCTGCCCCCAGCCTGGGGTCTGTTTCCCCCAAAACACGCACATCTCAGCGGACAGGGCCAGAATGCACTTTGGGGGCCAGCCACAGCCCCTGCCAGCCTCCCAGTTCCCCCAGATCCTACCCTGGGCTTCCCCTGTAAGAGCTTTATAATGAGATTTCAATTTTATAAAATTATAAGGGGCCTCTTAGGAGTTTTTGCCTGACATATCTTTATGAACCTACCCTGAGTGTTTGTCCCTGGAGAGCCAGGCCCAAGGATACCAATGGCTAGAACCAACAGAAAAGCACAGCTGCCGGCAGGAGGCCTCACCCTCCCGCAGTGTGAGGCAGAGCAGCACAGTGGCTCAGAACAACAGCATGTGCTGGGTGACCTTTGGCAAGTTGATTCACCTCTCTAAACCTCAGCCTTCTGAGCTGCTAAATGGGGCTGTTGTGATTGCTGGATGAGGCGAGGCCTGCGAAGTGGCTGGCATGCAGCAGGTGCTAATGAGTGCTGCAAAGGTGATGTCACGCAGGCAGCTTCCCGTGGCCAGAGAAACATTGCAGAGAAGGGATAAGTAGGGCTTAGTGACTTTGACGGGTC
Organism: Homo sapiens; assembly: GCF_000001405.40. Taxonomy (NCBI): domain Eukaryota; kingdom Metazoa; phylum Chordata; class Mammalia; order Primates; family Hominidae; genus Homo; species Homo sapiens. The sequence continues at coordinate 90,079,362 of NC_000015.10, forward strand.
AATGGAAGAATGACCCAAAGAAGGCTTCAAGGCCAGGCCTGCAGTTCTCCACCACAAAGGCCCTCACTGATAGCACCCACTCCCCCACACTCAGCTTTGGGGCCTAGGTCTGGTCACCCAGCTAGAAGCCACAGGACCCTGAGGCGTCCGAGGGTGGGAAGGCTGAGAGGCAGCTGAGACTCCTGGAGGCCGTGACTGGGAAGCCCTCTCTTTAGAAAGGCCATCAGCTTCCTGCGTGGGGGTGACTGGCTCCTCCCGAGAGATGGCAGCCAGGTCTGACTGTGCCCCTCTCTTACAGACCCCATGATGGAGCTGACAGGCACTGACCCTTCAGAGCTCGACGGCCAGCAGGAGATGGAGGACTTCGAGGAGAACGCCTACAGCTATGCGAGCGTGGACAGCAGCGCCGAGGCCAGTGTCCTCACTGAACAGGCCATGAAAGAGATGGCCTACTACAATGTGCTATAGCGCAAGCTGGGCCACCCCTAACGGGGGCCGGGGGCGAGGGCATGGGGGTGAGACCCATGGGCTGCAGGCTGCACCTCCTGCAGCCGAGAAACAAGCTACTGCCCCACTGTTCTGAGCCCTCCCTCCCCGAGTCATTTGCACCACTAGGGACCTTTAGACCAAATGGAGACTGTACTACTGGCCCCGGCTGTGAGCCAGCACAGGCCCAGGCATCCCAGCAAGGGAAGGAGAACACGCGAGGCCCAGATCTGGGTCTCCCTGGCCTGCTTCCGTGGGGAGTGGGAGAAGTGGGGCCACTGGGGACAGGTCACAAGGGCACCGGCCCTCGGGGTCTCTCCAGGCCCAGCAGAGCTCTTCAGGGGTCCTGACACTGGAAGAAGAGACCACTTGAGCCATGTCTTTTTCACGGCCAACTCCTGCCTCTAAGGATGTCTGAGCTCCCCTCTGGCCAGTACTGCCCACCTCTACCTTGTCCAGGCCCCCTTCCCCGCCCTGTCGACGGACCGCCAGGCAGGGCACTCTGCCTTCTACCTCCCGGGGTCTCCCATGCGCTCCTCAAGCCAGGTGTGCACGTGGCCCTGGCCCTGGCCTGCAGGACAGCTGGGGGGCACCCAGCCCCCAGAAGACCCCTGTCCTACATCCCTTTCTGGAAGTGAGTGTCCCTACAGTGGATTGCAACACATGTCGTCCACTTCGACCCTAGCTGGAGTGCCTCACCAGGGGGCCCCACTAGGAACAAAGCCAGGACAGGCCCCGCGTCAGGCACACACTAACAAAACCAGAAGCATGGGGCAGGGCAGGGCGGAGTGAGGGCATCACAGGGGACCAAGAAGGGCTGTCCTTGGGGGAGGCCCAGGACCACCTGTCGGGGAGGGGGACCGCAGTCATTTCTCATTCCTCAGTGTCCACCTTGCGACGGGGATAGCCACGAGTCAGCAGCTTCCCGGAAAGAGCAACGTATTTTAAAAAGGAAAGTAAAGCCCACAGAGGGAAATCAAGGGTTTTTTTGAGCAAAGGGGGTCTTCTGAAGGTAACTTATTATTTTTTTCTTTCCAACTGTGTGTCACCTATGACCTTTTCTGATGGAGATGCATTTTCTTTTTCCAAGCGTAAGCTTCCTAATGTGCTGTGCGTGCTTCCTACCCACCCACCCCGAGCAGCCTGGCCGGGCAGGACTGGGGCTCCATGGGGACTGTCACCCTGGCCCTGGAGGTGCAGCCGCTGGCAGCAGCCTCAGCAGGCTGGGGTGGGAGGCAGGAGAAGGCAGAGCTGGGAAGCCCTCCACCCCTGCCTGGCTCCTGCAGTCGCTGACTTGCTCTGTCCCATGTCCCATCCTCGGCTGTCAGGGCTGCTGACTCTGCTCAGCCAACAGCTAGCTCCCTCGCTCGCCTGCTCTCTTCCCCTCTGTTCCCACGCCAGCTCCTGCCCCTGGAACCAGAGATGACAGGCCCAGGGCAGTGAAATAGCACATTCAGGAACTCTAGGGCACCCGGACCCCCCCACCCACTTGCCTCCTGAGGCCTCAGTGGGGAGGGGCAAGCAGGGGTCTTCCCCAAAGGCACAGATGAAGCCACTAGCTTCAGCCTAGAAACCCGGAGAAGGGAACAGCCTGCGGTGGGAGGAACCAATCTGCAGCGCAGCCACCCCCAAGGCTGGATCCTTAAGTGAAGGACCAAGCCAGGCCTCAGGGTGACTGTGATCAGGACTGAGGGGTGGACAAGGTGGCCCAAGTATGGCTTCCAGACCCCGAAGCCCCACGACCTCCCAGGTGCCCGCCATGATGACCCTCAGGTGGCAGTGACCCCGTCACTGTATAAGACATTTTCTCCTGCTGAGCAGAAGGCATCATCCCCTGCAACTACCTCTTCCCACGTCTTTCTCCCCTGGTACCAAAAAGAACCCTGTACCTCTCCTCCTCCTCCTCCCTCCTGCCAGTGCAGTGGCCTTGGTCTTGGAAACTGAAGGGAGAAGGTCTGGCCCCCAGGGTGGGGCTCTCCTTTCCCTCCCCCAGCCCCGCCGTCAGCACTGGCCCTCTGTGAGGTTCGATACTTGAACGCCCCCTGCCCTGTGCCTTGGACCTGGGCAAAGCTAGGAGGAGGAAACAGCACAACTCACAGTTTGAGCTGGGGGGTGGTCTTGGCAAGGCTCCTGTCTGTACCCCTCCCTAACCTTCTCAAAAGAGGTGCACAGCCTCTCGGGTGACTTGGAAACTCCTGGACAAATTCCATTCTAACTTATTTTGACATGTATACAAACCAACTGTTTAGAGATTCCACTTGTGCAAAGCCCTACTGTGTTTTTATGTTCCTGTTTAAAAGAGAAGTTTACTTAGCAATAATTATAAATAAATGAATATTCTTTAGTGAGGTGACTGCAAATGCTTCTTTCCCCAGCTCTTGGGGACCTGGCCCTCACTCCCAGCAGGAACTCCCAGCAAAACTTCCCAGCCCCACACAGCAGGGCTGCACTCTCCCAGGGCCCGGGGGAGGCTGAGACCATCCTCTGCACTGGAATGGCCCCCTGCAGGGCCAGGCGCCTATAGCCAGCTGCCCCGGGCCCAAGAGAGTGGTGTGGGCCACGGCCCCTGTATTCCCACCACTTGCAGAGAAAAGCTGCTTCCCCTCCCTACCCACCCACATGGCTTCAGGAAAGAAGCCAGCTCCCGATGCCAGGCTGGGCTTCAGAGGCTGCGTTCTGCAGAGCTGCCAGCCCCGTGCTGGTGACAGGCAAGAAGAGGCAGGAAGCCTTGAGCTTCCTCCCAGGGGCTGGGCCTGCTAGAGCCAGCAGTCCACGTTTCTTCTTATAGCCCTGAGAGTTTCAGGGCATTACTCAGGAAAAGCAAGCGGGGGGTCACCAGTGTGGATGGAGGGCTAGAGCCCTTCCAAAGCCACTCAGTCTACCGCAATGGTCGGGTTTCAGGAGCCATAGGAGTCCCCCCAGTATTTAGGAAAGGGACTTTGTAAGATGGGGTTTTGAGAGATGGGGTCTCACTCTGTTACTCAGGCTGGAGTACAGTGGTGCAGTCATAGCTCACTACAGCCTCAAACTCCCGGGCTCAAGTGATCCTCCCACCTTGGCCTCCCAAAGTGCTGGGACTATAGGCATGAGCCACCACACCTGGCCAGGACTTTATAAAGATTATACAACTCTTCTCCAGGACATTTTAACACCAAAAAGAAGAAGCTTTGCAGAACTTACTATGCAGAGGACAGTCCTTTTGATTATATGTAGCTTTAGAGCAACTTTTATTTTTCCTTTTTACATGGGGCTAAAAAACTTGCATAGAGCAATTTTTTTTTTTTTTTTTTTTTTTTTTTTTTTGAGACAGAGTCTTGCTCTGTCACCCAGGCTGGAGTGCAGTGGTGCAGTCTCGGCTCACTGCAACCTCTGCCTCCCAGGTTCAAGCCATTTTCCTGCCTCAGCCTCCCGAGTAGCTGGGACTGCAGGTGCGCATCACCACGCCTGGCTAATTTTTGTATTTTGAGTAGAGATGGGGTTTCACCATGTTGGCCAGGCTGGTCTCGAACTCCTGGCCTCAAGTGATCCACCCACCTCAGCCTCCCAAAGTACAGGGATTATAGGCGTGCGCCACTGTGCCCGGCCGAGAACAATTTGTCACAAGCTTACTTTTCTAGTTTTGCCAATGCATGGTGAAAGTGAACCCAAGCCTGGGAACTGCAGGCCTAGACAATGCAGGGCCCTTGTTCACACACACCCAAGCCCCTCCAAACTCAGGCAGCCTTGGAAAGGAGAAGTGTGAGGCAGGTGTGGGTAGGACCTCTTTTTAGTACCTAGAAAAAGGCTAAGAAAGTGGCCTGGAGATGTTTAGAAGGTTAAAACCAACGAAGAAAAAAATCAATGACAACCTATCAGGAACTGATTGACTCTCAGAATGGAGAACTGGACACAGAAACTGGATCATGCTAGAAAATTCCAGGGAACCCACAGGCCTGTGCCCTGAGTGTCCGAGAACTCCGCAGTGGGCCCCTGTGGAATGCGGGCTCCCAGGGCTGCCTGGTCCCTTCCCTGCCGTGGCAGCCCCTTCCTGAGGTGCTCTGGTCTGCCCCAGGGGAACCTGCCAGCTCTAGCAGGGCCTCTGCCTCAGGGTCCCACTACCTCCTCCCCTCAGGGACAAACACAGCAGACAATTTTGTGAAGAGCTTTTTAGTAGCTAAATATGGCACCATGTGTTCCAAGGGCAATATAAATTACAGTATGCAAAACATACTGACTGGCTGAGGTAAAACGCACTGCTCCTGCCTCACGTCACCATGAGGGGAAACACACATATGCTTTTAAAAACATCTGGCTTATAAAAAAACATCCCCTAGAAAGGCCTCCAGAGAGGGGCTGTGAGGCTCACCCTCTGCCGCGCTCAGGAGGACCCGCCGGCTCAGCCCTGGCCCCTCCACTGCAGCCATGGGTGGCGCCTCCCCCTACTGCCTGCCCAGGGCTCTGTCCAGGTTGCTCTTGATGGTGTCGAGGAAGTCCGTGGTGTTCAGGAAGTGCTCGTTCAGCTTCACACTGCAGAGAGAGCACCACTCACATCAGGGGTGGCTCCAGGCCTTGCCAAGGCCATCAGCCAGGCCCTTCCAGGGAACAGCCTGAGCTTGGGCATCAGAACAGCCATCTCCTGCCACCCAGACTACAGGCCAGAGGCCAGCTATAGCCCCCTACCATGAGGCCACCGAGATTCGGCAGGCACCCGCAGGGTCTGTCTTGCCAGGTAACTGCTCTCCTGAGAGAAGCTGGGAAAGGGGTGTGGGCAGGGTCGGAAGGAGCTCTGAGTAGCCAGCCTCAGGGATGGGGAGGAACTCACTAGACCTGGTCTACAGAGGCTGGCCTGAGCAGTCTCTCAGGGCTGTGGACATGTCCTGCCCCAGGCCCCCTTGCAGCTAAGCTGACTCATGAGGGGGACTTTAGGAGGGGTCCCCTGGCTTCCTCCCACATGGCCCCAGGGTCTGCCTACCACCCCAGGCCACGCACTTGCTGAGGCCGTGAATGCAGCCCGCCAGGTCCTTGGTCATGGCTCCACTCTCCACCGTCTCCACGCACACCTTCTCCAGCATCTGGGCAAACCTATGGGGATGGGGCAGAATGAGACCCCATCTGTGCAAGGGCAGGACCCAGAGCCTGTCCTGGGCAGCTCCGGCCTCTCCCTCCATGCTCACCTGATGAGGTCTTGGTTCCCATCCAGCTTCCCCCGGTGCTCCAGGCCACGTGTCCAGGCAAAGATGCTGGCGATGGGGTTGGTGCTGGTGGGCCGGCCCTGGGGACGGGGGTTGCAGGGAGATCAAGAGCCGAGCCAGCTAGTGAGGAGGCTGCCCAGATACAGCTGCCCGCCCCTGGGCTGGTGGGTCAGGCTCGTCCTTCCAGCCCTCAGCCCAGTGGGCTTTAGGCCCCTGGGGTAGAGGGGCATTGTGAGGCCCCATGCCCTGCACTCACCTTCTGGTGCTCCCGATAGTGGCGGGTGACGGTCCCATGAGCGGCCTCAGCCTCAATCGTCTTCCCATCAGGGCAGACCAGGACGGACGTCATCAGGCCAAGGGAGCCAAAGCCTGGAGGGTAGAAAGCCTTTCTCTCAGGGCCTCGCCTCTCCTGGGGCCACCCAGCTGAGCCCTGCTGCCCTCTACAACCCAATATTGTAGCTGCCATAGTTCGTGGCTCTACTCAGCCTCCCCCAGCTGCAACTGGGAGGACAGGGACTGTTCCAGGTCTCTTCACCCTCCTGTGGGTCTCCAGGGCCCAGCACAGGGCTGGAGGGCACTGGAGGGTGGCTATCACCAGCACATTAACATCCATCTGTGTCACCAGCTCCAGGCGCCCCACAGCCTGTGGCCCACAGGGCCCAAGAGGCCACAGAGTCCTGTGGTCCCCCACAGCCTGCCACCCAGCCTGGCTCGTGACCCGGAGGCACATTCAAGGAAAACAATAAAGCTGTGGTCAGCTATTTCCCAACAATCACTTTTGCAGCTACTCTCTTAGGCCACTTTCAAGCTTTTTGATTAATTTCTGAATGCTCCCAAATCCACATGTCAACTCCAGCAAGCTTTTCTATTGTCAAGGACTCCAGGGCTTCAAAGGCACCCCCATGACACCAAAATAAGGATTGAAGAAAGAAAACATGGACAACATCTACAGGAAAATGCTTTGTCTATGAATTCTAAGAATTTTGGCTGTAAGCAATCCCTTCTCCATTTTACCTGCACCTTCACACCATTCCTTAGACACTTAAGGTTCATTTTCATGCCTCTGCCTCATCTGCTATGGCGTTTCATCCTTCTATCCTAGATGGGAATTGTTCGGTGAGAGGATCCCCACTGAACTTTCCAAAGTAAAGCCAAAGGTTTACACAAAGTAACAAGACTCTGCTTTTCATCAGAACCCGTCCTGGGCTTCCCTTTTCCCCATACCAGGAGCTGCCCTGGTAAGCTTAGGTTTCTCTTTCACTCTCTATGTCCTGCCTGTTTCCCACACCTACCACCTTTCCTGCTCTTGTTCCCAACACAATTGGCCCATTTCTCGCTGTTCTTCTCTAATGGTCTCACCTATACTTTATTTTTTATTTTTTATTTTTTTTGGAGACGGAGTTTCACCCTTGTTGCCCAGGCTGGAGTGCAATGGCGCAATCTCGGCTCACTGCAACCTCCACCTCCTGGGTTCAAGAGATTCTCCTGCCTCAGCCTCTCAAGTAGCTGGGATTACAGGTGTCCATGACTGTGCCCGCCTCCATGCCCAGCTAAATTTTTTTGCATTTTTAGTAGAGACGGGGTTTCGTCATGTTGGCCACGCTGGTCTCAAACTCCTGACCTCATCACCTATACTTTTTACTGCAATCTGATTTGTCTTTTAGGACACCCTAGGGCTTGGGGGTTTGCAGGCTTCCCCAACATTCTCTTCCATCCATTAGGTTCACTATGCAAAATGCATTCGCTGTAGTTTAAAGAACCTCCAGTCCCGCTTGATCCCATTTTCCTACTGGAACCAAAGAGTCATGAGGCTCCATCATGGACTGGAGCAACCTTAGGGCTGTCAACCTAGCCCTGGAATTCCTGTGCCCTCCTTTCTCTCTAAGAGCAGCCTCAGTCATACACCAGTCCAAACCTAATTTGTGATCCTCTCTCACTCAGATGCCAGGGAGCTCCTGCCCCCTGCTGTCCACAGAGGACCCTGCAATGAGTCCTGCTCCACTAGAGTTTTCTACCAAAAGGGTCTGAAAATCCCTCCAGCCAGAGAAGACCAACAGTCCACCCCCACAGGGAGCAGCGTCCTCCCAGCGTACCCTGGGCCAGGATGTCTGACTGCACATCTCCGTCATAGTTCTTGCAGGCCCACACAAAGCCACCCGAAGACTTGAGGACCTGAGCCACCATGTCATCAATGAGCCGGTGCTCATACCAGATCTTATTCTTGTCGAAGTCGGTCTTATAGTGCCTGGGAGTAAAAAGGTCTGTTATGGGGAGAGGGCAGAAGGCTGACAGGTTGGGGATCCCTCCCTGAGCCTCGGAGCTGAGCCAAATGCACTCTAATAGCGACCTTCCCAGGGTAGGATGGGAACAGCATGGGGGGAAGGGAAGAAAGGCCACAGAGTACATGGATGAGGCTTTACTTGTCAAAGATCTCCTGGAAGATGTCCTTGAAACGCCCATCGTAGGCTTTCAGTATGGTGTTCTTGGTGCTCATGTACAGCGGCCATTTCTTCTGGATGGCATACTGGAAGCAGCTGTGCGCAAAACCTGAGATGGACTGCAGGGGGAGAGACAGGGCCCTGGCGTGGTGCCCTAGCCTGGCGATTGCCGGCAACCTCCCACCTCCCAGGGCAAGGCCCAGCTCTCCAGGAACGGTACCCCGCCGCCCACGCGACTGTTTAACACCAGCCTCCGTGCAGTGCACACGATGTTTCTGCTGGCCCAGCCTCTCCCTCTCAACTTTGCTTTGTAAAACACCGCCTTTTTTTTTTTTTTGGAAAACACCGCCTTTTTTTTTTTTTTTTTGGAAACAACTTTTTTTTGGAAAGCACCGCCTTAGACTACATGTGGCTGGGGCAGGGCTAATTCCCAGGCCTAGCGCTGGGGTTGACAGTGTGTCCCTGGCTTATCCAATCAGAAGCCTTTCTCCCCAGGGCCTCTGTGATTGGCTCAGAGGTGGTCATGTGACTCAGCCTGGCATTGGAGCTGGAACTGGGGATAAAGAGGCATTCTCTTCTGATAGGGTAGCCAAGCAGGCAGGAGTACGCCTGGAGCTGCTCGTGGCCATTTCTTTTCTTTTCTTTTCTTTTCTTTTTGTTTCAAGAGATGGGGTCTCACTGTTGCCCAGGCTGGTCTCAAACTTCTGGTCTCAAGCAATCCTGCCTTGGCCTCCCAAAATGCCGGGATTACAAGTGTCAGCCACCATGCCCAGCCCTGGTGGCCATTTCTGCCTCTTTGTGGCCTAAGAATGAGGCCATTACAGAAGAAAGGAAAGCCACGAGACAGAGATGAAGAGACAAGCTGGGAGAGGAGGGGCCCAGGATGCCCAAGCCAGCCTCACCTCGTCGGTGTTGTACATGCCCATGCCCACGCCGCCTGCGGGGAAGTTGTACACTTCCCACTCCTTGACACCACTGCCATCTTTTGGGGTGAAGACCATTTTGAAAGTGCCGGCCCGGTCTGCCACAAAGTCTGTGGCCTTGTACTGCAGAGACAAGAGGATGGCTAGGCGAGGAGCTCCAGTCGGGGGGTGCCCAGGTCAGTGGATCCCCTCTCCACCCTGGCCTACCTGGTCGCCATGGGCGTGCCTGCCAATGGTGATGGGCTTGGTCCAGCCAGGGACTAGGCGTGGGATGTTTTTGCAGATGATGGGCTCCCGGAAGACAGTCCCCCCCAGGATGTTCCGGATAGTTCCATTGGGACTTTTCCACATCTTCTTCAGCTTGAACTCTGTGAGGACAGAGATAATAGTGGTCCCACTGCAGCCGCCATCTTTCAACCAGAATTTGAACCCCAAGCAACAACACAGCCAGACGGGGGTCCTAAAATTCTTCATGAGGAAGGCAGTAGAGTCTAGAGTGCAAATGTGTGGGCTCTGGAGTCTGCCAATTTTTTTTTTTTTTTTTTTTTTTTTGAGACAGAGTTTTGCTCCTATTGCCCAGGCTGGAGTGCAATGGCGCGATCTCGGCTCACCACAACCTCTGCCTCCTGGGTTCAAGCGGTTCTCCTGCCTCAGCCTCCCGAGCAGCTGGAATTACAGGCATGTGACACCACACCAAGCTAATTTTGTATTTTTAGGAGAGATGGGGTTTCTCCATGTTGGTCAGGCTGGTCTCGACCTCCCAACCTCAGGTGATCCACCCGCCTCGGCTTCCCAAAGTGCTGGGATTACAGGTGTGAGCCACCATGCCCAGCAAGTCTGCCAGTTTTAATGGTGAGGCTTACAAAAGTGGCTCAACCAAAGCTGTAAAAAAAAATTACTGGAAAAATAACCAGCCTAAGTGTTGTCGTGAGGACGAAATGAGCTCGTGTGTAAAGGGCCTAGAACGGTGCCCGGTCCATGCTAAGTGCTCTGTTGGCCATTATGATTCCCACATCACACATGGAGGGAGTACAGTCCGGGGGAAGGACTTGTCTGACGAAGCCTGACAACACACTGCCCACTCCACATGCTCCGGTCCTGGCCCCAACGCCACCCCAGTTCCTAAGGCTGTGACCCTCTCCTGCCTTGTCCATAAATGGGGATACACAACTCCCAAGGTTCAGGTGAAATGAAGAGCTCAACACTCAAATGATCCCAGTGCTGTGGGTCAGGCATGACCTGCAGGACAGGGGCAGGCCTGGGGAATTTGCAGATGTATCTCGAGTACTTTCCGCCAGCTCCCTCCAACTGTGGAAAGTAGGAAGAGAGAGCTCAGAAAACTCCTCAACCATCCTTTCTCGAATTATCCAAACCTGGCCCCTCTGCACACACACTGCTGTGACTTCATGGAACCCTCGAGAGCGGCCCCAACAGCCAAGGACCAGAAGCCAGTCTAGGCCTGGTGGGGGCACCTCTCAGTGACCCTGCATGACCATGGGGACAGAGGCAGACCTGCAAGGCCAAGCCAGTGGCAGGAGGGCAACAGCAATGTTCCCCAGAGGCTGCTGAGGCTCTGAAGGACACAGGCCTTACACACAGCACTCCTCTGCACAATCTCTCTGCATACCTGCCTGCAAGACTGTCCACGCCAGAATGGACTACTGCCCAAAGAAGCCATCCTTACTGTGACCACATCAGCATTACCTTCCTCCTCCTCCTCCTCCTCAGCCCTGTCACCGATGACACCTACCACTGTCAGAGCCAGAGTGAAGCAGAAACACCACTGGCCTGGGAGATGGAAGACATGGATTCTGTTCTCAGCTCTGCTGTGCCCTAACCGTGGAACCTGAGGCCAGCCCCTTACCCACGCCTGCCCCAGCCTCATCAAAGGTGACCTCTGAGGCCCCACTGTCCACCAGGCACACACAGGGAGACTGGCCTCAGGTGCAGTTGGCCTCAGGAAAGCCCCAGCTCTGGAGCCTCCCAACCTCCCAGTCCCGAGATGAGTGACATGGCCAACTGCCCCACCCCAAGTCTGGAGAGGCCGGTGGGAGAAGCCTGTGACCCTCCCTGGCCCGCCCACCTCCACACCCTCGCACCTTCCACACGGGCCTCATCAGGGGTGATGGTGGCACACTTGACAGCCACACTGTACTTCTGGGTGGCCAGTGCAGAGTCAATGGTGACCTGGTCATCAGTCTGGTCACGGTTTGGGAGCCCGAGGTCAAAATACTTTAGCTGGATGTCCACGTGGGGCAGGATGAGCTGGGGACAGAGGGCCAGAGCAAGGCGTCACCCCAGTGACTCAGGGACATGACAACAAAGGGCAGGATAAGAAGTCTGCAGGCCATGGCAGGGGACAGTCAGTCAAAACAGGGATGAGTGAAGGCCAGTGGAGGGGCGCAGCAGAAAGCTGGAGTCAGCCATTTCTCAGTGGGGCCTGGCCAGAGCTGGCAGAGGCTGGGGCTTTGGAGAGAGGTTGGCAGGCCAGGCCGCAGTCTTTTGGAGGGTTCTTCCTCCACTGTGCCTGTGTGCCCCCCTCACATGGCCCATCAACTCAGCCAAACCCCAACCCCAAGTACATCTAGATTTCTCTATACAACTGGTTTCCTCTTCTCAAGTGCTTTGAGATCTTACAGTTGGAAGTGACAGTTCTCAACCTTTGTCCCATGAACGCACACACAGTGTGGGGCCTTCACAAGGACTACATGCTCTCCTGGACATACATAGACCACGGCAACTTTGGAGAAGCCAAGCGGCCACTCTGGGACCCCTTTGCCATGGTGGCTCGTCACAACTGCAGGCTGGGTCACTGCCCTACACACCAGCCCTGTTCCCTTTTCACTCCTTTTCAAGAAGTGAGGCAAAACGTAGGGGATCAAGATGGAAATGATACAGGATTAACCTTGAAGCTTCTCAAAGTTGACAGAACGTGTGGGATCTGGCACCATCACAACACGGACTGCTGGGGACAGGCCCCCGCCTGACGACTTCTGAACAATTAGTGGACCAGATGTGAAAGAAGGGTAGACAGAGGGAGAGAAACAGAGCTGCTGCTGCCTACCAGGACAACGGGGGGGTCCTAGGGACCTGCAGTCCAGAAGACCCTGTGGGACAGAACAATCCCTGGCCAGCCCACCTGGAGAGCCACCCACTTCAGGAGGGGGCACTACCTTCTCCTTGATGAACTGCCAGATAATACGGGTCATCTCATCACCATCCATCTCCACCACGGGCTTCGCCACCTTGATCCTTTTGTCGGCATCTAGAAGCAGGGACACACAGCGCATCATGCCCCTGGGGAGGCTGGAGGGGGGCCCTCTCCTCCCAGCCAGGCCCGCCCTTCACCAGGAGACAGTGGCAGAAAGCCAGGGCTCCAGCTGCCCGGTGTCCACTCCCCCGTCTGCAAATCAGCTCCCTCACTGCTTAGAGCAGGGGTCCCCAACTCCCAGGCCATGGACTAGTACCGTGGGCTCTGGAGAGAGGTCAGCAGACCAGGCCACAGCCTTTAGTGCAGGTCCACGGACTGTTGGGAACTGGGCCACACAGCAGGAGGAGAGCTGCAGGTGAGTGAGCACTACTACCACCTGAGCTCATGCCTGGGAACTGCGCACACGAGGGATCTAGGTTGCATACTCCTTATGAGAATCTAATGCCTGATGATCTGTCACTGTCTTCCAGCACCTCCAGATGGGACTGTCTAGTTGCAGGAAAGCAAGCTCAGGACCCCCCGATTGTACATTATGGTGAGCTATATAATTTTTTCATTATATATTACAATGTAATAATAATAGAAATAAAGTGCACAATAAATGTAATGCACTTGACTCATCCCAAAACCATCCCCGCTGCCCACCACCCTGCCACCCGTGGAAAAATTGTCTTCCATGAAACTGGCCCCTGGTGCCAAAAACTTTGGGAACTGCTGGTTTAGAGCACCTGGATCCATCCATCCTTACTTACTTCCTTTCCTTTCTTTCCTTCCTTTCCTTTCTTTCCTTCCTTCCTTCCTTTCGTTCCTTCCTCCCTTTCTCTCTCTCTTTCTTGGCAGGGTCCTGTTCCATTGGTCAGGCTGGAATGCACTGATGCCATCATAGCTTACTGCAGCATTGACTTCCTGGCTTCAAGTGATCCTCTGACCTCAGCCTCCCAAGTAGCTGGGACTACAGGCGCATGCCACCACACCCAGCTATTTTTAATTTTTTTTTTTTCTGAGACGAAGTTTCGCTATTGTCCCCCAGGGTGGGAGTGCAGTGGCATGATCTCAGCCCACTGCAACCTCCGCCTCCCGAGTTCAAGTGATTCTCGGGCCTCAGCCTCCCAAGTAGCGGGGATTTCAGGTGTGCACCACAACACCTGGCTAATTTTTTGTATTTTTAGTAGAGACAGGGTTTCACCATGTTGGCCAGGCTGGTCTCAAACTCCTGACCTCAAGTGATCCACCTGCCTTGACCCCCGCAAAGTGCTGGGATTACAGGCGTGAGCCACCGTGCCAGCCTAATTTTAAAATTTTTTTGTAGAGATGGAGTCTTGCCCTGTTGCCCAGGCTGGCTGGACTCCCCACCCCACCCCCACTTTAATCTGGCTAGGTAGAACTACCCAAAAACATGCCCAGCCCACCAGTGGCCAAGAGGGTGGGGGCCAGTCTGGCCTGTCAGACCCTCTCCCCCTGGAATATGAAGGCAGAGGAGATCAACACAAAGAACACTGGCTAGCTGCGGCTGCCTCATCCAGCACCAAATCAGTAAGAGGTTGTCCAGGGGCTCCTGCCATCCAGTTCCTAAGGAGGGCCTGGGTCCTCTTTTATGTATTTACTTATTGTTTAGAGTCAGGGTCTCTTTATCTCTCTCTGTTGCCCAAGCCAGGCTCAGACTCCGGGGCTCAAGCAATCCTTGCACCTCAGCCTCCTTAGTAGCTGGGGCTACAGGCCCATGCCAAGATATTACTTTTGTCCAAGACTTAGTTCTTTATAGTTTTCCCTGCAATTCTATGAGCTACGCTGTGTAGCTCATAATAAAATCCTCTCCAAGTTAACCAGTCACTAACTTTGTCTGTTGCGTGCAACCCAAGAGCCCTCAACTAACTTGTGGTGATAAAGGAAATAGTATAGATAGGTATTGAGTGCCTACTATGTGCCTTACAGTGTACCAATGCTGTACAATGTGATTCCATTTAATCCCAAAAACAACCCCAAGGAGGTATCATTACCTCCATTTTATTTAATTAATTAATTTATTTATTTATTTATTTATTTTTTGAGACAGAGTCTTTGGTCTGTCACCCAGGCTGGAATGCAATGGCGTGATCTCGGCTCACTGCAACCTCTGCCTCCCGGGTTCAAGCGATTCTGCTGTCTCAGCTTCCTGAGTAGCTGGGATTACAGGCACACGCCACCAGGCCCGGCTAATTTTTGTATTTTTAGTAGAGACGGGGTTTTGCCATGTTGGCCAGGCTGGTCTCGAACTCCTAGCCTCAGGTGATCCACCCACTTTGGCCTCCCAAAGTGCTGGGATTACAGGCGTGAGCCACCACGCCTGGCCATTATCTCCATTTTAAGTGTGGGAAACTGAGGCTCAGAGAGGTTAACAGCTTACTGCCCAAGGTTACAGAGCTTGAAAACAGCAGAGTCACGAGGACTCTGACCCTATTCAACAGGAAGGACAGGCTTACAGCACCTGCGAATGGAACTCAGAACCCTTGATCCCAGCCGACGCAGGTGGGTCAGTCCTACCAGAGAAGCATCAAAGGACTCAATGAGGGGCTGATCAGAGGTCCAGGGAGACCAGTGGAGGGTAGGGGGCAGGGGACGCTACTGAAGGAGAGTCTGACTCGCAGGAATACCCAACAGTCTGGGAAGTGAATTTCAAAGAAAACTCAGGAACTGGCCACCTAACAATGAATCAGTACAGCTGCCTTGGACAAGGCTTGTTGAACCTCAGCCTGCAGCAGATAGGGGCACCGGGGCACCAGCCTGCTCCTCTGCCCACAGCCTGGGAAGAAGCAGCAAATGCAGAGCAGGGAACAAGATCTAATAAAACTTCAGTCACAGGGAAATCTCACCAGCTCAGCTGAGAGCTGTGCCCTTTCCTCAAAGCAGCACTCCTCAGCCTCACTTACAGCCCAATTACTCTTGTGTTACACACAGTCCTTAGAGAGGTGGTGATGTGTCTTCAGCTCCACTCTAGATTAGACACAGCAAATCAGGTGAAGGGAAGAGAATGATTATTTGAAAACACTGGGTTGGGGCTGGGTGTAATGGCTCATGCCTGTAATCCTAGCACTTTGGGAGGCTGAGGCAGGTGGATCACTCAAGGTAAGGAGTTCAAGACCAGCCTGGCCAACATGGTGAAACCCCATCTCTACTAAAAATAGAAAAATTAGGCATGGTGGCACGTGCCTATAATCCCAGCTACCGAGGAGGCTGAGGCAGGAGAATCGCTTGAACCCGGGAGGTGGAGGTTGCAGTAAGCCAAGATCACGGCACTGCACTCCAGCCTGGGCAACAGAACGAGACTCCATCTCAAAAAAACAAACAAACAAACAAAAAAAACTGGGTGGGAAGAACTGACAAGGGACAGAATACCTGTGAAAAGCAGGCCTAGAAACCACCTCGGCACATTTAAAACAAAAGTGATTAAAGCCTAACAGACCTCAAACAACTGACTTTCCAAAGATATGCAAAGAGTTTGTTTTTTTTTTTTAATCTAAAAATAATCTTAGAGATCATTTAGGGGGAATAATGAGACTCAGAGAGTGTGGTCTGCATCAGAGGCAAGATAGAGCCCAGGTCCCTGACCCAAATGCAGCCTCTGGAAGACCCGTGGGTCAGATGTAGAGAAGCAGAACACAAACACAGCCTTGGACTATTCCATTCCCTAGAGAACAAAAGGTGGCTGGCTGCTGGCTCTACTGCCTTTCCCAAGACGCGATGGGGATTTTGAACCCAATCTACAATATTCCTTCACTTTTTTCTGAAGCTTGAGTGGAAAGAGCTGCAGAACCTGCGGAAAGTCTGTTGAGCTGTTGCAGAGCTAGTTTAGTTCTGGGGAGCATCTCCTATGAGTTAATTTGAGGACAGCTAATCAAATTTGTTAAAAAAAAAAAAAAATGAACTATCATAATCAGGAGCCCTAAGGAGAGACTCACTTGGGGCCAGTTCTTCAGGTTTCAGCCTCAGCCTGGGCTCCACGGTTGGGCTTCAGGCAGGCATGGCTAGGAGAGTTCAAGGTCAAGATCAAAGACCTGATGTGTCAAACCCTCAGAGACCACAGGACCTGATTATTTACTCACCGGCAGGTGCTAACTAAGCACTTATCCAGTACCCCACTGGGATACTGAAATGCCTAAAACACAACAGTGCCTGCCCGGAGGCAGTGAATGTGGAAGGGGAAACCTACAGGTAACAGAGAGAGAGCAAGCAGGGCTGTCACCAAAGTCAGGAGTGCCCAGGCCTCCCTGGAAGCAAACATCCCAGGGGAACTGAGAACAGCAACATGAGCCAAGGCCAGCAGAGACTTGTTCTGCTTGTTCCAGGTACTGGTTTTTTAAAAAAATCTTAATTGGTGACCAAGTTTTAAAAATCAGTAAATCTCAACAATAAAACAAATAACTCAACGTTAAAATGGACAGAAGACTGGCTGGGCACCGTGGCTCATGCCTGTAATCCCAGCACTTTGGAAGGCTGAAGAGGGCAGATCACTTGAGGTCAGGAGTTCGAGACCAGCCTGGCCACAATGGTGAAACTCTGTGTCTACTAAAAATAGAAAAAAAATTAGCCTGGTGTGGTGACACACACCTGTAGTCCCAGCTATTTGGGAGGCTGAGGCAGGAGAATTGCTTGAACCCAGGAGGTGGAGGTTGCAGTGAGCAGAGATCATGCCACTGCACTCCAGCCTGGGTAACAGGAAGACTCCATCTCAAAATAAATAAATAAATATAATGGACAAAAGACTTAAATAGACATTTCAAGTCCAAAGATGATATACAAATGGCCAACAAGCACATGAAAAGATGCTCAACATCACTAATCATCAGGGAAATGCAAATCAAAACCATAATGAGATATCACCCCACTATCCCCTCACAACCACTAAGAGAGCTACTATCAGGAAAAGAAAAACAAAACAGAAAATAAAGTGCTAGCAAGGATGTGGAGAAATTGGAACTCTTGTGCCCTGTTGGTGGGAATGTGAAATGGTGCAGCTGCTGTGGAAAACAGTATGGGTGTTCCTTAGCTAAAAGGAAAAGAATTACTGCCGGGCACGGTGGCTCGCACCTGTAATCCCAGCACTGTGGAAGGCTGAGGCGGGTGGATCACGAGGTCAGAAGATCGAGACCATCCTGGCTAACACAGTGAAACCCTGACTCTACTAAAAATACAAAAAATTAGCCAGGCGTGGTGGCAGGCGCCTGTAGTCCCAGCTACTGGGGAGGCTGAGGCAGGAGAATGGCATGAACCCGGGAGGCGGAGCTTGCAGTGAGCTGAGATCGCGCCACTGCACTCCAGCATGGGCGAAAGAGAGCAAGACTCCGTCTCGAAAAAAAAAAAGAAAAGAAAAGGACAAGAATTACTATATGATCCAGCAATTCTGCTTCTGTATATACATCCAAAAATATCGAAAGCGGGGTCTGAAAGAGATATATGTATGCCCACATTCATAGCAGCAATGTTCACAACAGCAAAAGATAGAAGCAACCCACGTGTCCATCACAGATGAATGGATAAAGACAATGTGATACAGTCCCCCCTTATCAAAGGTTTTATTTCCATGACGTCAGTTACCTGTGGTGTCAGTTACCCACAGTCAACCATAGTCTGAAAATAGGTGAGTACAGTACAGTAAGATATTTTAAGAGATCACATTCATGTAACTTTCATTACAGTATATTGTTATAATTGTTCTATTTTATTACTAGTTATTATTGCTAATCTCTTACTGTTCCTAATTCATAAATTAAACTTTATCATAGATCTGTATGTATAGGAAAAAAACATAGTATCTACAGGCTTTGCAGTTTCAGGTATCCACTGGGGATCTTGAAATGCATCCTCCAAGGATAAGGGGGACTACTGTTATCTACATACAATGGAATATGATTCAGCCTTGAAAAGAAGGGAAATTCTGACACCTGCTACAAAGTGGATGAACCTGGGGGGCATTATGCTAACTAAGTGAAATAAACCAGTCACAAAAGACAAATACTATATGCTTCTACTTACATGAGGTACCTAGAATAGTCAAATTCATAGAAACAGAAAGTAAAAAGGTGGCTGCCAGGGACTGGGGACGGGAAGTGGGGAGGTATTGTTTCATGGGTAGAGAGTTTCGGTTTTGCAAGGTGACAAAGTTCTGGTGATGGATGGTGGTAATGTCTGCACAACAGTGCGAATGTACTTAACAATACTGTACACTGAACAATGACTAAGATGGTAAGTTTTATACGTTTTTTACCAAAATAATAAAAATTTAAACCAGTCAAAAAAAATCAGGAGATTTTATATAAAAATCTAGAAATGCAGCAGGCACTCACTCATGGCAAGGATGGGCTGGGCTGAAGGCGGCCTCTCCCTTCACTCCATGACAGCCAAGTGCCCTCCAGTGTGGCCCAGGGCACTGGAGTTTGAGACCCCTGTCTGCTGTTCAGCCTGTATGGTGGAGATACAGCCATGGTCTGCCCTTCTCTGAGAGATAAGTGGTGACAAGCTACCTGAAATACACAGAGCAGCAGCTAGGCCTCCCTGAAAACCTCCGAAGTGACAGCCACCACGAATCTTCAGCTGATGCATTGCACAAACACTGTCCTCTTGGCGAGAGTGCAGGATGGAATTACACCAGTCACCAGAGGCACGTTAGGCTGACTCTCCTCCCTGTCTGGGGCTCCTAGCACCCAATACCAAGTAAGGATTTCAAAACACATCCCTGGCTTCTTGCTGCTCCCAGCAGGAGGCTAGAGGTCCAGCCGCAGGCAGCCAGCCCCAGGCATAACTGCTCCCTCCACATTCCTACCCATGCTCTCAGCAGAAAGGCTGCTCAGTCAGCATGTCCCAGCAAAAGATCAGAGAGTGGGGAAAGGTTCCAATTCCTGGGGGCTCAAGAAGGCAGGACAGCAACTTTGTATATTTTATGTATGTATGTATGTATGTATGCATGCATGTATGTATGTATGTATGTATGTATGTATTGAGACAGAGTCTCACTCTGTCGCCTACACTGGAGGGCAGTGGCGTGATCTCGGCTCACTGCAAGCTCCACCTCCTGGGTTCAGGCAATTCTCCTGCCTCAGCCCCTGAGTAGCTGGGACTACAGGCGCCTGCCACCACACCCAGCTAATTTTTGTATTTTTAGTAGAGACCGGGTTTCACCATGGTGGCCAGGCAGGTCTCGAACTCCTGGCCCCAACTGATCCGCCTGCTTCGGCCTCCCAAAGTCCTGGGAGCCACCGCACGCGGCCAGAACAGCCATTTTGGAACAAACTCTAGTAGACTCCTTGGTGTCATCCTTCATTCCTTCCCTTCTCTCACATCCAAACCACCAAAACCAGAAGCCACCCTCAGACAAGCCCACCCTTGCCATAAGTGAGTGCCTGCTGCGTATCTAGATTTTTATGTAAAATCGCCTGAATTGGAACCTTTCCCCACTACTGGCTCCTCCTTCAAAATATATCCAGAATCCAACCACTTCTTCACCATCCCCAGCGCCACCACCCAGGTCCAAGCCATCATCCTCTCTTGCCAGGTCCCTGAAGCTAGAATGCTCCCGATAAGATGGAAATCAGGTAACGATACTCCTCTCAAAACCCTGCAAAGTAAAAGCGAAAGCTCTCAAAAATGGCCTGTGAGCCCTCTACAGACCCCACTGCCGAACCTCATCCTGTCACTCCACCTGGTGCCTGCTGAGCCAGCCTTCGCACCATCCTCTCTGCTCTTCCATCATGCCCTTGGCACCTGCGAGTCCCTCTTCCCCCAATACCGAAAATGGCCTGCTTCCTCCCCTCCTCAGCGATTCCTTCAGTGAGGACTTTTCTGGCTGCCCTATACAAACTTTTGTGCACACACCTTTCTTGCCTGTTTCTCCTTAGCTCTTCTCTTTTTGGGGGGAGAAGGGGGAGGCAGGGTCTTGCTTTGTCACCCAGGCTAGAGTGCAGTGGCACAATTGTACCTCACTGCAGCCTTGACCTCCTGGGCTCAAATGATCCTCCTGAGTAGCTAAGACCACAGACATGCACCATCGTGCCTGGCTAATTTTATTTTTTATTTTTGTAGAGATGGGGTCTCACTATATTGCCCAGGCTGGTCTGGAGCTCCCAGCCTCAAGCAATCCTCCCACCTCAGCCCCCCAAAATTCTGGGATTACAGGTGTAAGCCACAGTGCCTGGCCTTCCTTAGCTCTTGTACCCATATATCATACTAGTCAACATCTATCTTGCTTACTGTCTGCCCCCTCCCACATCAGAATTTGAGCTCCTAAGGGTTTTGAAAGAGTCTCTGCTGGTTTTATTCCCAGCTCTATCCCCAGCACCCGGCATGGTGTCTGGCACAAAGTAGGAGTATACTACTTTTGTCAAAGACATAAATAAAGGTCAAGTTGAAGTCAACTCCATCTGTGGTCAGGGCTGCCCTGCCCTCACCTTCTGTTTCACTGAATGTGTTTCCTCCCCTCTCACCCATCTGGTATGCATTGCCACACAGGGGCCAGTGAGTTCTTACCAGCAGCCTGCACCAGATGTACACGGGTGGCATCTCTCTCCAGCAATAGGCCCCATGCCCTGAAGAAGCTTACAACCTACAGTGTACTAATATTTGCAATCTGCTGGTATTTTTAACATGGGTTTACAGAGTATAAACCCCAGGGAAGGCCACAGACCCTGGCTTCCAGTAATCTGAGAGCAGTTTCCAGCACCTCATACCCTGAATGGAACCAGCCCAAGGGCCCTCAACTTCACACAGAAGATGTGGGAGCAGGCCTCAGCCATTCCAAAGAGGCTTTTCCTCAGTACCTACTAGGCCTAAACACAACCACCCCAATCAGCTCTGGCAGGGCAGCTAGGGCCTTATCTGACGTGGCAGAAAGATCTGCACACTTAAGGGGCAAGAATTAAGAAGTTTCTGGGTTAGGAGTGAAGGAAGGCTAGATAAGTAATTCTGCCACTGAGCCGTTCACAGAACTGGTCCGCACTGCCCCAAGCTCTAACTTACCAGAAACATCACCAGCAGTCGCTGGAAGCCTATGGCGTTGCAAAATAGGAAAAGATGCGTGCAGGAATTACCAGGCAGCAAAGACACGGGGCTCTTTTAGCCCCAAAATATTCTTTCCTTGTCATCAAGGGGAATGCCAAGTATTCTGTCTCCAGCTGCGTTGCCAGGTAACAAGCTGGCAGAGTCGCAACTGTAGAGTCTGATGTCCAACTCCAACACCAAGCAATTTCCCCATTCATAACCAACCCACATGGGGACTTCTAGAAGGGCCTGCAACTGACTGCTTTTTCTGTATCCAAATTCAGGACCCTTAAAAGGCGCTTTGTGTTCCTGTTTGTGTGTGTTTTTCGGGTTGTTTGTTTCTTTTTTTTTTTTTTACCATCAAGGCAGAAAAAAAGGGAGAATTAAAGAATGTGGCTAACTTCCACCATATTTTTGCTGAAGGTGGTGTGCTATATGGGAATCTTTGGGTCCTGGGGCACTTGGAACCTGGGAGTTGTTGGGCAGATCCCTGAGGTAGATTCCCAGAGGTACAAAAGCAGACATGCCCCTTTCTCCTTGGCAGGGAAGGTAGGACTGGGGCCCAAGCCTCCCTACCCCCCCGGCTCTAGTCAGCTGCTCCCACAATCCGGTTAACCATTACCTCCTCTGGCCAGGTCAGGGCCAGCGGGCCCCATCCCCTCTTCCTCACTCTCCTGGCTCACTGCAAGGGGCTCCTGGCCAGATTAGGATAGGGGTTTCCATGGCAACAGGCATTAGGCAGGGCCAAGGGACCTACATTGTTCCCTGCCTTTTGTAGCTGTGTTGGGTAGCCAGGGTGAGGGGGCAGGCCGATGCCCACACGCCAAGCAAGGCAGCCTGCGTTGGCAACGGAGGCTCGGGCTAAGTCTTGCTTATTACGACCCGACTACTGTCTTCCCTCCTAAGCAGGGAACTAAGGGTACCCAGAAGCCGTGGGAACGATTCCGCAAAGTGACATTTTGCGCGGGCTGCCAGGTCTCTGCGGCGAGTGAGCCAGGCAGGGAGGGCATGTGCCTGCCAAGGCAGGTCAAGTCAAGGAGAGGCCCCAGGATGGAGCCTCAAGTGCAGCGATGAAGGCGAAGGGGTGGGGGTGGGGGCGGCCAAACAAAAGGGGAAAAT
Organism: Homo sapiens; assembly: GCF_000001405.40. NCBI lineage: Eukaryota > Metazoa > Chordata > Mammalia > Primates > Hominidae > Homo > Homo sapiens. Next base: position 90,101,716 of record NC_000015.10, read on the forward strand.
TAAAAAGGACGCTCCTCCAGCTGTCGTGTAAAAGGCTCCAAAAATAGCTGACGTGGGCCTGGTATCAGCGCGCGCCTGGCTGAAAAGGAAGGGGAAGTGCATGTCTCCCGCCTCCCAGCCTTTGTCTGAGCAGGGGCCGAGCCACGACCCTCCCTCTCGCCAGGGGAGCGCGCGGGGTGCTCCAGCCCCCCACGGGTGCTCGTCTCGTTCCAGGGGCGCAGGGCGGGCAGGCCACCCTTCGGGTCCGGGACACTCTCAGGACCCCCTCCCGAAATACCTAGGGGCGCGCGGCAGCCCCGAGCCCCCGCCCGCGCAGAGCTGGCCGTCGCCCGGGCCACCAGTTGCCACCGTCCCTCAAGTCCCCACCCCAGCGCCTGGCACGGCCGGGAAGCGCCGGGCGGGGGAGCGCGGAGCGAAGCTGCCCCGCGGCCCTTTGTGCGCCTGACCCCGCCGTCCCCGGGCTGCGGGCTGGCGGGACGTGCTTCCCGGCCCCAGCCTGGGAAGCCGCCACGTCGCAGCTGGGGGCGCGCGCCTGCCTGGACCCTCCGCGCGGCACTCACAGTGGCGCCGCGGCTGCTCTTGCGAGGTGGGGGCTGTCAGGGCCGCCGGCGCCCAGGCCGGCCGCGAGCCTGAGGCTCTGCAGAGCGAGCGCACGACCCGCAGGTAGCCGGCCATCCCAAGCTGGAGAGCGAACGAGCAGGGCGGGAGAGGTCCGAGCGCGCGCCGCTCCTCCCGGCTGCCTGGCCGCGGGCTAACGCTGGGCCTGGCGGGCGCTGGCCGCGCGGGCACCACCGGGGCGGGGCTGCCGGGCCTGCCGCCCCATTGGGCCTTGCCGGGGAGGAGGCGGGGCCAGGGCCGCCGACGCCTCCAGCGTCCCGCGGGAGCCGGGACCCGGCGGCCAGGCCCGGCTGGTGCTTCTCTGGGCGCCGCTGAAAGCCCAGCTCCGCAGGAGCTACAGGCGTGAGACCCACCGGGACCCGCGAGCGGGATCAGGGCTGGGGGATTAGCAGAGCCGCTTGCGAGGCTGACCCTCTCCAGGATGCCCCATGTAAACCTGGATGTCAGTTTCTGACGCTTTAGCTTAAACCCAAAAGCCAATCTGAGCGAACTCTTGCTTCCCTCGCCTGCCGGGCTGAACCCAAAGGCGCATTAGCCCAGTGCGGCTGCTTCATTCTTGAGCTAAGACCGCCGGCGGCGTCTGCGCCTCCGCGAGTCCGCTGTCAGGTCCAGCTGGTGTAGAGAGAGTTGAAATCTCACTTTGGGCCGGGCGCGGTGGCTCACGTCTGTAATCCTAGAACTTTTGGGAGGTCGAGGCAGGCGGATCACTTGAAGTCAGGAGTTCGAGACCAGGCTGGCTAACATAATGAAACCCCTGTCTCTACTAAAAATACAAAAATTGATCGGGCATGGTGGCGCGCGCCTGTAATCCCAGCTACTCAGGAGGCTGAGGCGGGAGAATCACTTGAACCTGAGAGGCAGAGATTGCAGTGAGCTGAGATCATGCCACTGCACTCCAGCCTGGGCAACAGAGTGAGACTCCGTCTCAAAAAAAAAAAAAAAAAACCACGAAAAAAGAAATATGATTGGACCAGAAGGCCAATAACCTGAGTGGGGAAACCCAGCAAGTCCTGTCCGTGTAGATTCTTCTTGACCTTTCTCTGCAGCATTCCTTCCTTCTGAGTACGGGGCAGGACTCTCTCTGGGATGGAGGGGTCTTAGGACCTGCAAGCAAACAAGGTAGGTCAGATAATTTATGGCCAGTTTTTACCCAGAAATGTGTGGGAGAAAGAGTAATATTTTTGGGTTCGATGTCTGGCTTTGGGGGAGAAGGGCTCTGGTTTCTATGACCTGCCTTGAGGAAGAAGGATTCCAGTTTCTATGGCTGGCCTCGGAGGAGAGTGAGGGGCCAAAGACAGGAGGGAGGGAGAGGGTCAGAGAGAGCTGCTCCTGAGGCCTGCATTTTGGGGTGTTGTTTTCTGAGACCCTAGAGTAGTCAAACAGCCACAGTAGAAACAGTTCCATTTTTGCCTGTTTGCATATAAAAGATGGGTTTGTTTGTTTGTTTTAATTAAAAATAGAGATGGGGGGATCTCACTATGTTGCCCAGGCTGGTCTCCAGCTCCTAAGCTTAAATGATCCTCCCGCCTCGGCCTCGCAAAGCACTGGGATTACAGGTGTGAGCCACTGCACCTGGCCACAAAAGACAGTTGTAATTGATTCTGCCACAAACAAAGTTTCTCTCTTCATCTGTTTTCTTAAACTAAGACACCAGCTGAGGGCTGGGTTTTATTTGGAAAAACCTGACCTCTTTCCCTTCTCTGCTTTCCCAGTCACGCTAATTCACTCCAAATAGGAGCAACCTTTCTCTTCTGTGTTCTCAGCCCTCCCCTCCACTACCTCACAGTCAACATTGCCAGGTGGAGCTGGACCAGGAAGGTGACCTTCAACTAGTGACTTCAAAGCTCCCCTCACCAAGTCCTAGCCGGCAGAACTACTACTCTGGCCATGGGATCCAGAAGGCTGAGCCCAAGGGAGGGCTGCTTTTGGGCCCCCCAGAGTCTGAGGCCTCTGTCAAAGGCCTGGTCTTGGGCCAGCTTGTGCCAGAAAGACCCCTTATCCCTTTGACTCTGTTCAGAATTCTGTTGCTCCAAACACAAGTAGAGACCATGGAAGCCTCTGGCATTTGACTTTCCTGCCAACCTGGTATTATCAGGTGCCTGGATCTCAATGTCCACACCTGTAAACTGGAAGACTGGACCCCTGAAGATCCTTCTGGTCCAAACAATCAGACTTACGTATGTCAGCCACCCATACTGCCACCTCTGAAATGGCGGTAATGAAATTGCTGTCCCCCTCCCCCCACCAAGGACTTGCCCCTTTCTCTGCATGTTGGACTCATATCTCAGAGGCCTGGCCAGAGGCAGCACTGTAGGTGTGTTCCAGAGTCTGGTCTTTGCCTGCTGAGGGATCAGAGGGGGAGCACTTGTGTGCCTTGTAAGCACAGCAGCAGCTGGAGGCAATTGAGGCAAAATCTTTAAACGGATTCTAACTACCTGCCTCCCAGGGCCCCAGCTCCACGCCAGCCTTTCCCGTAAATCCTGTTTGGTGAGGCAGCTGATGCCAGCTCCATTTGGCTCGTAGAGGTTACCACACTTGCTCAATGTCACACTGCTGGGAAGCAGTAAAACTCCAGTTCAAATCAACATACCTGGCCCATATTCCATTACTGTTTTTTTGTTTTTTCCGAGACAGGGTCTCACTCTGTTGCCCAGGCTGGAGTGCAATGGTATGATCATGGCTCCCTGAAGCCTCGACCTCCCGGGCTCAAGTGATCCTCCCACCTTAGCCTCCTCAGTAGCTTGGACAACAAGAACATGCAACCATGCCCGGCTAATTTTTTTTCTGTTACTTTTTGAAGGAGAAAGAGGGAGAAACCACAGCCCCTATTTATTGTGCTGGTCTGGAATTCCTGGTGATGGTAACTATTGGCCCTGAAAGCTGCTGCAGAGAAAGATGGTGTTTAAAGGAAAGGGGCTCAGATCCTCCCATCTGGGGTCAGTGGAATTGAAAATTTCCACCCCTCCACATTTTCAATCAAACCCCAATTTGTCATTGAATTTAGGTCACGTGCAAGTTCCCTGTGGAGGCACAAAAATTTGTATCACTCCGTCCCCACCCTCTGGGAGCCAGACACACATGTATACAATCACCATAAACCCAGGCACAAGAGAAAAATGTCTGCTGGGCGTGGTGGCTCACACCTGTAATCCCAGCACTTTGGGAGGTCAAGGCAAACTCCTTGAGCTCAGGAGTTTGAGACCAGCTTGGTCAGCAGAGTGAGACCTTAATCTCTATTTTAAAAAAAAAAAAGAAAGAAAGTGTCCCAAGAGGAGTGTAGATGACGCTTGAAACATCTGGCAAGGAGAAAAGCACCTCGGATGCAGGGGCCCCTGGAGAGCCTGGGGGAGGAGCGTCCATCTAGCTGCCTCTTCAAAGAGCTCTGAGGTCTGGGGGGAGGCCGGACAGGACAGCTGGGAGCAGTCAGGGACTCACATTTCTTTTTCTTTTTTCTTTGGAGACAGAGTCTTGCTCTGTTGCCCAGGCTGGTATGCAATGGTGGGACTCGGCTCACTGCAACCTCTGCCTCCGAGGTTCAAGCAATTCTCCTGTCTCAGCCTCTCAAGTAGCTGGGATTACAGGTACGCACCACCATGCCCAGCTAATTTTTGTATTTTGAGTAGAGATGGGGGTTTCACCATGTTGGCCAGGCTGGTCTTGAACTCCTGACTTCAGGTGATCAGCCCACCTCGGCCTCCCAAAGTGCTAGGATTACAGGCATGAGCCACCACGCCCAGGCTCTTTTATTTTATTTTATTTTATTTTATTTTATTTTATTTTATTTTTGAGATGGAGTCTTGCTCTGTTGCCCAGGCTGGAGTGCAGCAGTGTGATCTCAGCTCAGGGCAACCTCTGCCTCCGAGGTTCAAGTGATTCTCTTGCTTCAGTCTCCCAAGTAGCTGGAATTACAGGCACAAGCCACCGCACCAGTCTTTTTCTTTCTTTCTTTCGAGACAGGGTCTCACTCTTTGCCCAGGTTGGAGTGCAGTGGTGCAGTGGTGCAGTGGTGCAATCTCAGCTCACCGCAGCCTCGACCTCCCAGGCCCAAGCAATCCTCCCTCCTCAGCTTCCCGAGTAGCTGGGACTACAGGTGCATGCCTGGCTAATTTTTGCATTTTTTGTAGAGACAGGGTTTCAGCATGTTTCCCAGGCTGTTCTGGAACTCCTGGGCTCAAGTGATCCTCCCACCTTGGCCTCCCAAAGTGCTGGCATTACAGGAGTGAATCCCGCGGGGACTCACATTTCATCCAGCCAACATTCCAGGGCATTCGTTTTGTGGTGTGCAATAGGCAGACAGTAACATTTGGCAACAGTGGTGAGAGGGTATTGGGATAGAGCCTGGGGAAGGGAGACAAGAGTTCCTGAGCTAGGGACAGGCCTGACACAGGGTGCTGGCGGAACCCCCAAGAGAGGCAGGACTCCAGAGATGGTATAGAGGAGATAGAATCAGCAGGAATTGTAGCTGGTTTGACATGGGGCATGGCCGGGGGAGGAGTCAGAGTGACTCAGACTTCCATCCCTGGGGCTGGAAGAATGGCACAGCCATTATTAGAAATCAGAGAATAGGAGGAGGAGAGAGTTGTGGGAGAGGCGTTGACAGCAGAGCTATTTATGGTCATCTCCAAACTTATTTCCCTGCCAGCTGTCTGTGCCCCCTCCCCCACCCAATCTGCCCTACCTGCTGCTTCCAGCACTGTCCTCCCAAAGCCCAGTCCTGAGCAGCTACTCCACAGCTCAGATACCCACAGGAGCTTCCCACGCCATACACAAGCAACTCTGAACAGCTTCTAACAGTCCATGGCCTCCACCTCCCTCTCTTCTCGTCTGCTATTTCCCCCTCCCCAGGATCCCTAAATGTAGCATTCTCCTGAATTGTCACTGCCTCGGTGCCCTCGCGTTGTCCCCTCCCTCCACCACACAGGTTCTGTACTGCCCACAGCCAGACCCAACTCACACTTGGTGGCTGCTATGGACTGAGTGTTTTTTGGCTTGTTTGTTTCTCTTTTTTTTTTTTTTTTTTGAGATGGAGTCTCACTTTGTCACCCAGTCTGGAGTGCAGTGGCATGATCTCAGCTCACTATGACCTCCACCTCCCAGGTTCAAGCAATTCTCCTGCCTCAGCCTCCTGAGTAGCTGAGATTACAGGTGTGCACCACCATGCCCAGGTAGTTTTTATTATTTATTTTTATTTATTTTTATTTTTTGAGATGGACTCTTGCTCTGTCGCCAGGCTGGAGTGCAGTGGCGCGATCTCAGCTCACTGCAACCTCCACCTCCCGGGTTCAAGAGATTCTCCCGCCTCAGCCTCCCAAGTAGCTGGGACTATAGGCACCCACCACGACACCCGGCTAATTTTTGTATTTTTAGTAGAGACAGGGTTTCACCATGTTGGCCAGGATGGTCTCGATCTCTTGACCTTGTGATCCGCCTGCCTCGGCCTCCCAAAGTGCTGGGATTACATGCGTGAGGCACTGTGCCCAGCCTGAGTTTTTGTATTTTTAATTCTCGAGGTTTCACCATGTTGGCCAGGTTGGTCTTGAACTCCTGACCTCAAGCGATCCTCCCACCTCGGCCTCCCAAAGTGCTGGGATTACAGGCGTGAGCCACCGTGCCTGGCCTGGACTGAATGTTTGTGTCCTCCAAAATTCATATGCTGAAGCCCTAAGCCAGTGTGATGGTGTTTGGAGGCAGGGTCTCTGGGAGGTAATTATGTCATGCCTTCATAAATGGGATTAGTGCCCTTGTAAAAAGAGACAGGTGAGAGATCTCTCTCTGCCACATGAGGTCATAATCAGGAAGAGGGCCATCACCAGGAACCGAATCAACCAGCACCTTGATCTTGGACTTTTTAGACTCCAGAACCAACAGAAAAAAAATTCTGTTGTTTATTTTTTATTTTATTTTATTTTATTTTATTTTATTTTATTTTATTTTATTTTATTTTATTTTATTTTATTTTTTGAGATGGAGTCTCATTCTGTCGTCCAGGCTGGAGTGCAGTGGCACAATCTCGACTCACTGCAACCTCCACCTACTGGGTTCAAGTGATTCTCCTATCTCAGCCTCCCGAGTAGCTGGGATTACAGGCGCACACCACCACACCCAGCTAATTTTTGTATTTTTAGTAGAGACGGGTTTTCATCATATTGATCAGGCTGGTTTCAAACTCCTGACCTCAGGTGATCCGCCCACCTCGGCCTCCCAAAGTGCTGAGATTACAGGTGTGAGCCACCGTGCCCAGCCGATTCTGTTGTTTAAACCACCCAATCTGTGACATTTTTGTTATAGCATCCTGAACTAAGACAATGGCCAAGTCCAAGCCCACCTTCACAAGCCTGCACCGAGGGTAGGGGGCTGCAGGGACAACAGCATTCATTCACCTGAGTCATCACGTACGGTATCCAACCCCCCAGACCCCTCCAATAAAAGAGCACAAAATCTACTCTGATTTTAGCTTTGGAAAATGGACATCAATGGGGTTCAGAAGCAAATTTGAAAGATTTTGAAATACTATTTAATTTCTTGAAATTTTATCTCATCATTTAAGTTAATCCTAAAAATTCCTAATATTAATAAAACTAGAGAGCCAAGAGCCATTCTCAGTGGCACACACCTGTAATCCCAGCTACTTGGGAGGCCAAGGCAGGAGGATTGCTTGAGCCCAGGAATTTGAGGCCAGCCTGGGCAACATAGCTTAATCCAAGTAAAAACCAGAGAGCCAGAGTTGGGGCCACGGGAAATGATGAAAAGTCATTACAAAGAACCAGGTGCTGGCCAGAAGCAGTGGGTCATGCCTGTAATCCCAGCACTTTGGGAGGCCAAGGCGGGTTGATCACGAGGTCAAGAGATCAAGACCATCCTGCCCAACATGGTAAAACCCCATCTCTACTAAAAAAAAAAAAAAAACAAAACAAAACTAGCCAGGTGTGGTGGTGAGTGCCTGTAGTCCCAGCTACTTGGGAGGCTAAGGCAGGAGAATAACTTGAACCTGGGAGGCAGAGGTTGCAGTGAGCTGAGATTGCTCCATTGCACTCCAGCCTATTGACAGAGCAAGACTCCATCTCGGGGGAAAAAAAAAAAAAAAAAAGAACCAGTTGCAACATTATCATGTTGCAGCAGATTCCTAGAGTATACAGATTTCATCCAATTTGCAGAAATAATTTATATGATTCAAAGTCTCATTGCCTGGGCAAGTCAGTTAACCTCTCTGAGCCTCAATTTCCTCATCTGCAAAATGTGGATAATAACAGCACCTACTCCTAGGGTAATTCTGAGAATTAAATGAACTCACGCAGATAAAATGCTTAGAATGGTGCCTGGCACACACTGAGGGGATCTGCTGCTAGTGATATTAATATTATCAGATCATTCACATCTACAATGCAACAGGTTTTTTGTTGTTGTTGTTGGTTTTGTTTTGTTTTGTTTTGAGACAGAATCTTGCTCTGTCACCCAGGCTGGAGTGCAGTGTGTACGATCTCGGCTCACTGCAACCTCCACCCCCCAGGTTCAACCAATTCTCCTGTCTCAGCCTCCCGAGTAGCTGGGATTACAGGCATGCGCCACTATGCCGGGCCAATTTTTTGTATTTTTTTATGGGGTCTAGCCATGTTGGCCAGGCTGGTCTCGAACTCCTGACCTCAAGTGATCCGCCCGCCTTGGCCTCCCAAAGTGCTGAGATTACAGGTGTGAGCCACTGCACCTGGCCTACATGGCACCAGTTTACTGAGCCCCTATGACATGCCAGTCCTGACCCAGGAATGGACAAGAGGGCACATTCCTTTCCTGAGAGGACCTCAATCCACTGAGAAACATGGGGAAATGAATGTGTCAATAGATATTTCAAAACAGTGGATTAGCCAGGCGCGATGGCTCATGCCTGTAATCCCAGCATTAAAGGAGGTCAAGAAGGGAGGACCGTTTGAGGCTAGGAGGTTGACACTGCAGCCATATTTGTGTCACCACACTCCAGCCTAGGTGACAAAGTAAGAACATGTCTCAAAAAAGAAAAGAAAGAATGAAAGAGAGAGAGATGGAGGGAGAGAGGGAGGAAGGAAGGAAGGAAAAGGGGAATAGGAAGGAAATGTAATGGTGGTTACATGTTATTACATTGTCAAAACCCCTAGAACTGTACAACACAATGAATGAACCTTAATGTAAACTATGGACTACAGTTAATAATAATATATCAATATTTTTTCATCGATTATAATAAGTATAACAAGGGTAAAATATTAATAGGAGAGACTATGAAGGATGGGCTAGGGTAGTAGGATGGGTATATAGAACTTTATGTATTACTTTGCTCAATTAGTCTGTAAATCTCAAACTGTACTATTAATAAAAAACAAAGTATTAATTATTTTTCATACTTTTTTCAAAAGGCATTAACAATAGTCTAATGATGCAGGGCATTCCTTTTGAGCAAGGAAAGAGGAAGGTAAAATGATTTAAATAGTTACCCTTGTGAGATTTTGATTTGTGGTATGTTTATGAAGTGTTGGACAAGGGGTGAGGGTTTTGGATTTGAGACATAGAATGATGCCAGGCATGGTGGCTCTCACACCTAAAATCTCAGCACTTTGGGAGGCCAAGGTGGGAGGATTGGTTGAGGCCAGGTGTTTGAGACCAACCTAGGCAACACAGCAAGATCCTGTCTCTAAAAAAAAAATACTTTAATTTAATTCAACATAAAAAAATAAAAAGAATGGGCTGAGTGCAGTGGCTCATGCCTGTAATCCCAGCACTTTGGGAGGCTGAGGCAGGCGGATCACATGAGGTCAGGAGTTCGAGACCAGCCTGGCCAACATGGCGAAAACCCATCTCTACTGAAAGTACAAAAATTAGCTGGGTGTGGTGGCAGGCAACTGTAATCCCAGCTACTCTGGAGGCTGAGGCAGGACAATCGCTTGAACCTGGGAGGCAGAGGTTGCAGTGAGCCAAGATCGTACCACTGCACTCCAGCCTAGGCAAAAGAGTGAAACTCTGTCTCAAAACATAATAATAGGCCGGGCGCGGTGGCTCACACCTGTAATCCCAGCACTTTGGGAGGCCTAGGCGGGCGGATCACGAGGTCAGGAGATCGAGACCATCCTGGCTAATATGGTGAAACCCCGTCTCTACGAAAAATACAAAAAATTAGCCAGGCGTGGTGGTGGGCGCCTGAAGTCCCAGCTACTTGGGAGGCTGAGGCAGGAGAATGGCATGAGCCTGGGAGGCGGAGCTTGCAGTGAGCCGAGATTGCGCACACTGCACTCCAGCCTGGGTGACAGAGCAAGACTCCATCTCAAAAAAAAAAAAAAATAATAATAATAATAACAACAACAAAATAAATTAATTAATTAAAAGAATGGAATAAAATATAAGGAAGACATCAAAAAAAAAAAGAATGAGGTAGGTCAATATTTTCTGACATCAAAAGATGTTCTGTGTGCCAGGTGTGATGGCTCACACCTGTAATCCCAGCACTTTGGCAGGCCAAGAAGGGTAGATTGCTTGAGTCCAGGAGTTTGAGATCAGCCTGGGCAAAATGGTGAAACCTAGTCTCTACAAAAAATACAGAAATTAGCTGGGCATGGTGGAATGCACCTGTGGTCCCAGCTACTCGGGAGACTGAGGTGAGAGGATCACTTGAACCCAGAGACAGAGGTAGTAGTGAGCTGAGATTGCACCACTGCACTACAGCCTGGGTGACAGAGTGAGAGAGTGAGACCCTGTCTCAAAAAACAAACAAACAAACAAAAGTTACATGATATAATAAATAAAAGGAGAAAATTGCAGAGAAGTAACTGTATGTAAGCACACACACATACATGAAAAATTGAAGGCACTTAAGCCAAAGAGTATGAGGGAGGAGTGAGATTACACAAGACTCTCAATTTCTACTTTATACAATTCTGTGGGGTTTGAATGTCATGTAACAAGCATCTATTACTTTTATAACCAGAAAAAAAAATTGAGATATATATTGTTTATTTTAAAAACAGACACAGCCAGTCTCAGTAGCACGTGCCTGTAATTCCAGCTACTCGAGAGGTGGAAGGATCACCTGAGCCTGGGAGGCAGAGGTTGCAGTGAGCCGAGATCATACCACTGCACTCCAGCCTGGGCAACAGAGTGAGACCCTGTTTTAAAAAAAAAAAAAAAGTGGATTTAAATGTAATACAGTACAAAATACTCATTGTTTCAAATTATATCTTGCAAGTAACTTTTAAGAGACTAGCACTTGTGCATTTTGTTACAGAACATGAGTGCAGTCAGTTCTCTGTATCCAAAGGGGTCTGCATCCATAGATTCAACTAACCGTGGATGAAGAATATTCAGACAAAAGATTGCTTCTGTATCGAACATGTACAGACTCTTTTTCCTTATCATTATTTCCTAAACAATACAGTATAACAACTATACAACTATTTACATTGTATTACATATTATAAATAATCTAGAGATGATTTAAAGTATACAGACAGGGCTGGGTGAGGTGGCTGATGCCTGTAATCCCAGCACTTTGGGAGGCCGAGGTGGGCAGATCACCCGAGGTCAGGAGTTTAACACCAGCCTGGCCAACATGGTGAAACCCCGTCTCTACAAAAATACAAAAACTAGCCAGGCATGGTGGCGGGTGCCTGTAATTCCAGCTACTTGGGAGGCTGAGGTGGAAGAATCACTTGAACCCAGGAGGCGGAGGTTGCAGTGAGCTGAGATCCTGCCACTGCACTCCAGCCTGGGCGACAGAGCAAGACTCCGTCTCTAAATAAATAAATAAATAAAGTATACAGACAGATATTTGTTGGTCATATGTAAGTACTACACTATTTTATATCAAGGACTTGAGCATCCTGAGATTTTGGTATCCACAGGAAGTTCTGGAACAATCCTCCATGGATACCAAGGGATGGTTATATTCTCAATATCTGAAAAAACTATGAAATACTCGCCCCGCCCCCCGCCCCGGCCTTCCTTTTGCAGCTGTGTGAGGCTGGGTTTTCTTCATATACTTCAACCCAAACAGCATAATAGCAACACAAATGCAGAAGCAGCTATGAGAATCCAGCTACTTTCATTAAGTCAGATATTGAGAGAACTGCAAAAATGTAAACAATGCAATTCTTCTCATGAAGTTTTTTTTGGAAACTGTAGTTATTTTTAAATAAATTTTTTTTTTCTTTCTTTGAGATGCAGTCTCCCTCTGTCGCCAGGCTGGAGTGCAATGGCACGATTTCGGCTCACTGCAACCTCTGCCTCCCACATTCAAGCGATTCTCCTGCCTCAGCCTCCCAAGTAGCTGGGACTACAGGCGTGTCCCACCACGTCCAGCTAATTTTTATATTTTTAGTAGAGATGGGATTTCACCATGTTGGCCAGGATGGGCTCAATCTTTTGACCTCGTGATCCACCCATCTCGGCCTCCCGAAGTGCTGGGATTACAGGCATGAGCCATCGCGTCCGGCCTAAATAAATATTTCTAAAACATATTCGTTTCTAACTTTTAACTCAGTAAATATGCTTATATATAACCCATAACTGCAAAACCTCTTTGGAATCCTCAAAAACAATGTCTGTAAAAGGATGCCAATAAAACCACCTCTGCAAAAATTACAACAGTGAGAGAAATATAATATAACTGACTTCATCTTGCTTCTAACCTCACAAGCTAACTGCCCTTGCTCATTCCTGGGCATAGGCCAAGCTAAGTATGGGACGAATTTTGTTTATAGTTTAACCTTAAAGCAAGGGTTAGCCTGGCGCAGTGGCTCATGCCTGTAATCTAAGTACTTTGGGAGGCTGAGGCTAGAGGATCACTTGAAGCCAGGGGTTTGAGACCAGCCTGGGAAACAGAGTGAGACCCTGTTTCTACAAAAAAATAAAATAAAAAAAAAAGAGAGCGAGAGAGAGAAAAGAAAGAAAAGAAAAGAAGGATGATAATAATCCTTTCCCAAAACTAACCCCCATCATGTTTGGGACTGAAACCGCGTTTGGAAAGCTAATGAAAGACCTCGAATTTAGAATCATGGGAGGGGTCTGAATTATGCTAACCTGTAAACATACTTGCTTTTCTATAATCACTTACTGCTCAGCAGCCATATAGATTTGTAACTGCTGGAGGTCACAAGATTTGCAACTTCCCTAGTTGTTCCTGTAGATAACATCACTATTGTAAACCTAAGGCTGGTCTGAGATATTTCTCACACTTTTGCATTCTGGCAGACCAGCTGACTTCACTCAGACCCATGACCCACACCAACGGACTGACTCCACCAGTCCTGTGGCCCCATCCAGAAACTGACTCAGCACACCAAACAGTTTAAACATTCCTATTATTTCATCTCCAGCCAATCAGCAGCACCAATTCCTTAGTCCCCTGACTGTCAAATTGTCCTTAAAAGCCCTAGCCTCTGAGTTCTTGTTGAGATGGATTTGAGAAACATCTCTGGTCCTCTTTGCTCAGCACCCTATGATTATTAAACTCTTTCTCTACTGCAACACCTTCTGTTTCAACATATTGGCTTTTTCTGTGTGGCAAGGAAGAAGAACCTGTTGGGTGGTAACACCGAAATAAAAACATTTGAGAATAATTATACTAGAAGAGAGTAATTGCATCTCAACAAAAATGGAGGCCACATTATCACACACAAGATATTTAATATTTATACATGTCAAAAGACAAAATTACAATAAATTTATAATAAAGATCTCAATTTCCTTTATGTGTGATTCTAGAATCAGGCAACACTTTATTCCATAAAACAGAATAAGTGTTATAATGAGCTGAGCAGAGAAGGTTGGCTTTTTTTTTTTTTTTTCTTGAGACAGGGTCTCTGTCACCCAGGCTGGAGTGCAGTGACATAATCACAGCTCACTGAAACCTCAATCTCCTGGGCTCAAGTGATCCTCCCACCTCAGCCTCCCCAGTAGCTGGGACTACAGGCATGCAATACCATGCCTGGCTGATTTTTTTGTTCTTGGTAGAGATGAGGTCTTACTATGTTGTGCAGGCTGGTCTTGAACTCCTGAGCTTAGGCAATCCTCCTGCCTCAGCCTCCCAAAGTGCTGGAATTACAGGCATGAGCCACCATACCTGGCCATGGAGATTGGCCCTATAGACAGAGAAGGGCTGAAGAAAGCAGAAACAAAGAACAAAGAGTGCATTACAGTTGAGCCTTCAACAACACAGGTTTGGACTGTGCACTTCATTTATTTGTAGATATTCTTCTTTCTTTTTCTTTTTCTTTTCTTTTTGAGACTTAATCTCGCCCAGGCTGGATTGCAGTGGTGCGATCTCAGCTCACTGCAACCTCCGCCTCCCACATTCAAGTGAATCTTGAACTAATTCAAGAGAATCGCTTGAACCTGGGAGGCAGAGGTTGCAGTGAGCTGAGATTGCACCATTGCACTCCAGCCTGGGCGACAGAGCGAGACTCCATCTCTAAATAAATAAATTCATTAAAATAAAATCAAATTACTGTTTCTTGTAAGGCAGGGAAAGGAAGACAGAACAAAATAAAAATAACTGATTAGTTAACAGCAGATTATTTTAGGTTACTTTTTTTGTGTAAGGACTTTATTATATCAAGTAAAGATTTAAACAGATCTGTTTGGGAAATCCGCTGTCTCTTCCTTCTGATTTCTTCAAAGGTCAACCAACAATTTATTGTAGGTGTGGTGAAAATGGAACTGTAGCATGGGTGACTCCATTTTGATTTTCAGTCTGGTCTGTTAGGGCCTAGCCCAGGAACTTTGTCCAAAATAATGGGCTTCTATAATTTTTATTTAATATACCGTATAATATATAGTCCATATTAAGTTTTCCCAAATTGTCCCAATAATTAATGTAAACATATTTTTAAATTACAAACACATAGGATTTAGGAGCTGTCTTTTTGATAGTGATTTTATGTTTTATTGCACTGGGTCTTGCTAAAGAAAAAATGATTCATGATGCTTGTTAAAGATGGCAAGGCAGGTTTTATCCAAGGTGAGCTATGGTGATAGGTTTAGGGACCACTGTGATGGGGTCTTGTAGTGGGGGAGAGAGTGGACTCAACTCCAACTCCAACAAGGACAAGTGGGGATCTATAACCAAGGAGCGGGGGGTTGAGTATCAGTGGATGGAAAACTACTAAAAAGAAACATCGAGGATAAAAGGGCTTCTGTTCTGGCTAAACTGACTGATAGCATTATTGCTGAAGGCAGGCCAGGGTGATAAGATATCAAAGGGGGTCAGATACCAAGGTTGGGGCCTGCCTTCCTTCTTTTTTCCTTCCTTCCTTCCTTTCCTTTCCTTTAATTTCCCCTTTCCTTGTTCTTTTCCTTTCCTTTCTTTCTTCTTTCTTTCTTTTTTATTGAGACAGGGTCTCACTCTGTCACCCAGGCTGGAGTGCAGTGACACGTTCTCGGCTCACTGCGGCCTCGACCACCTGGACTCAGGCGATCCTCCTGCCTCAGCCTCCGAATCGCTGGGACCACAGGCATGCATCCTAATTTTTTTGTATTTTTTATACAGATGGGTTTTCGCTATGTTGCCCAGGCTGATGCACCCACCTTGGCCTCCCAAAGTGCTAGGATTACAGGCGCAAGCCACCGTGCCTGGCCTAGATTTTGTTAAACTGACTTAGCTGGTCATTTGCTCAAACTGGATTCTACAAAGATAGAGAGGGAAGCCCGAGGTCAGGCCTATGGAGGCAGAGGACTCAGAGGAGGCTGACTGAAGTTTTGGCCAAAGGGAAGTCTTTGTTAGTTTATAATTTGTCCTCTTTGACATGTATTGACTCTTCTTTGGTGGTCCAATGTGTGGTCAAATGTGTAAGTTCCAGGTGTTTTGGTTTTGTTGTTGTTTGACATAAGGTCTCACTCTATCACCCAGGCTGGAGTGCAGTGGCATGATCTCGGCTCACTGCAGCCTCGACCACCTGGACCCAGGCAATCCTCCCACCTCAGCATCCCAAAGTGCTGGGATTACAGGCGTGAGCCACTGCACCTGGCCTTTGTTTGTGTTTTAAGAGATAGAGCCTTGCTATGTTGCCCAGGCTGGGCTTGAATTCCTGGGCTCAATTAATCTTCCTGCCTCAGCCTCCCAAGTGGCTGGGACTACAGGTTCATACCACCACACCCAGTTCTAGGTATTCTTTTATTTATTTTTTATTTGATTTATATATTTTTTTTCTGAGATGGAGTCTCGCTCTGTCACCCAGGCTAGAGTGCAGTGGCCCGATCTCGGCTCACTGCAACCTCTGCCTCCCAGGTTAAAGTGATTCTCCTGCCTCAGTCTCTGAGTAGCTGGGATTACAGGCATGCGCCACCATGCCTGGCTAATTTTTGTATTTTTAGTAGAGACAGGGTTTGCCTATTTTGGCCAGGCTAGTCTCGAACTCATGACCTCAGGTGATCTGCCCACCTTGGCCTCCCAAAGTGCTGGGATTACAGGTGTGAGCCACCGCATCCAGCCCTAGGTATTCTTTTTGTTGTTGTTGTTGATTTGTTTTGTTTTTTAGCAGAGACAAGGTCTTGCTATGTTGTCCAGGCTGGTCTTGAACTCCTGGACTCAAGCAATCCTCCCACTTCAGCCTCCCAAAGTGTTAGGATTACAGGTGTGAGCCACTACACCCAATCTTTTCCGATTTTTTTTTTTTTTTTTTTTTTTTGGCAGGGGGAGATGCATTAGAGTGCAGTGATACGATCACAGCTCATTGCAGCCTTGACCTCCTGGGCTCAAGCAATCCTTCCACCTCAGCCTCCCAAGTAGCGCCACTGAAATCTATGTTCTTGTAAGTTTTTATAAGCTATTTGTTTCTAAGAGAGGTGTTAAGACTGCCCAGTGTGATTGTGGATGTGTTCATTCCTCTTGGTAATTCCATCCATTTGTGCTATATATATTATGAAGTTTTCTTAAGTGTTATGCTCATACCTGTTATATTTTTCTAGTAAATTACTCCTTTTATCATTAAATAATGATTCTCTTTATACCTAAACTTGCGTTTTGCCTTAAGATTTATTTTGAACTATTGTATATTGCTACACCAGCTTTACTTTGGTCCGTATTTGCCTGATACAACTTTTTTCATGCCTTTTACTTTTAATTTTTTATGTTACATATTTTATGTGTATCCACACATAGCTGAGTTTTGGTTTTGTAACATACTTTGAAAGTCTGTCTTTTTTTTTTTTTTTTTGAGATGGAGTCTTGCTCTCTTGCCCAGGCTGGAGTGCAGTGGCACAAGCTCGGCTCACTGCAATCTCCGCCTCCAAGGTTCAAGTGATTCTCCTGCCTCAGCCTCCCCAGTAGCTGGGATTACAGGTACGAACCACCAGGCCCAGCTAATTTTTGTAGTTTTAGTAGAGATGGGGTTTCACCATGTTGGCCAGGCTAGCCTCAAACTCCTGACTTCGTGATCTGCCTACCTCGGCCTCCCAAAGTGCTGGGATTATAGCCGTGAACCACTGTGCCCAGCTGAAAGTCTTTGTCTTTTATAAACATATTTACACTGTTCACATTTATGGAGATTGCTGAATATTTTTTACATTTCTATCACTTTATTTTGTACTTTCTATTTGCCATGCTTTTCTTTTGCTTATCTATTTATTTATTTATTTTGGAGACAAGGTCTCACTCTGTTGGCCAGGTTGGAGTGCAGTGGTGTGACCGTAGCTCACTGCAACTTCAGGCTTCTAGGTCAAGGGATCCTCCCACCTCAGGCTCCCAAGTAGTTGGGACTATACGCCCATGTTACCACGCCTGGCCTTCTTTTGCTTCTTTTCACATCCTTTTAAGCTTTCTATCGGATCAGCCAAGATTTCTTTATTCTCCTCTACCTCCCTTACTGGTATGGAAATGATATGTTCTATTTCTACCTGTTTAGAAATTAAATTCAGACTTGGGAACCCACATCTATAATCTCAGCACTTTGGGAAGCTGAGGCAGGAGTATCACTTGAAGCCAGGAGTTTGAGACCAGCCTGGGCAGCATAGCAAGACCCTATCTCTACCAAAATTGAAAAACAATTAGCCAGATGTGATGGCACACACCTGTAGCTACTCAGGAGGCTGAGGCAGGGGGATCCCTTGAGCTCAGGTCAAGGTGGCAGTAAGCCATGATCACACCACTACACTCTAGCCTGGGTGGCAGAGCAAGACCCTGTATCAGAAAGAAAAAAAAGAAAAAGAAAGAGAGAGAGAGAAGGAAAGAAGGAAAGAAAAGAAAAGAAAGAAAGAGAAAGAGGGAGGGAGGAAGGGAGGGAGGAAAGGAAAGAAGGAAGGAAGGAAGGGAGGAAGGAGAAAGAAAAGAAAAAGGGAAAGGGAAGGGAAGGAAAAATTAAATTCTTGACTTTACAAAGTTTAAAACTCATTATTTTATTTATCCTTCTTAAAAATATGAGAAACTTAGATTATTTCTCTCCAATTCTCCCATCTTTCATGTTATTAGTCCATAATATTTTAGTTCCAGTGGGAGTTCTAAGCCTCCTCATTTTTCTTTTCAAGTAGATGTATAAACATGTTTGCACCTTTCTTTCTTTTTTCATAGAGACAGGGGTCTTCCTATGTTGCCCAGGCTGGTCTCAAACTCCTGGGTTCAAGGGATCTTCCCACCTCAGCTTCCCAAAAGTGCTGGGATTACAGGTGTGAGCCACCCAGCCATGCCAGTTTCTTTACTCAGCATTGTGTCTTGAATTTCACTCCTGCCTCCTGGGTTCAATTTCCTAATAACTGAAAGGTGTCATTCAACAGGTCTTTTAACAAAAGTCTGTGAGAATTAAGTTTCTCTGTTTCAACTTGTTTTATTTTACTCTCACTGCTAAGGTCTAAATGTCTCACAGAATTCATGTATTAAAATTTAATGGCTGGGCCAGGCGTGGTGGCTCACACCTGTAATCCCAGCACTTTGGGAGGCCAAGGCGGGCAGATTACTTGAGGTCAGGAGTTCAAGACCAGACTGGCCAACATGGCAAAACCCCGTTTCTACTAAAAATACAAAAAAAAATAGCCAGGAGTCATGGTGCATGCCTGTAATCTCAGGTACTCTGGAGGCTGAGGCAGGAGAATCACTTGAACCCGGGAGGCGGAGGTTGCAGTGACCCGAGATCCTGCCACTGCACTCTAGCCTGGTCAACAGAGCAAGACTCCATCTCAAAAAAAAAAAAAAAAAAAAATCAATGGCCAGTGAGATGGTATTAAGAGGTGAGGCCCTAAAGGCTGAGACAGGAGAGTCGCTTGAACCTGGGAGGCGGAGGTTGCAGTGAGCCAAGATCGCGCTGTACTCCAGCCTGGGCGACAGAGCGAGACTCCGTCTCAAAAAAGAAAAGAAAACAACATTACCTGCAACCCAGAAACCATCCTTAAGTTCTCTCTTAGACATTATTTTTCCAAATTCCCCAAAGGTCACTACTACTATCCTAACTTCTACTAAAATGATTGATTTTGCCCATTTTTATTTTTGTGTAAATAAAGTCATACAGTATATACTCTGTTGTGTCTTTTTCTCAACATTACATTATAAACTTCATTCATGTTTTTGCATGTAGCTGTAATTTACTAATTCCGTTGCTATCTAAAGTTGCATTTTATGAACCTGCCATAATTTATTTCTACTATTTGCATTCTACTATTGATGAACATCGGGTGTTTACAGTTTGGGGCTATTACTAACGATGCTTCTATGAACGTTCTTACACTTATCTTCTGTACATATATACAAAATTCTGTGGAATAATACTTATGAGTGAATTACTGGGTCATAGGACGTACACATACATATATAAAGTGTTCAGTTTTAATAGACACTGCCAACTTTTCAAATTGATTGTCTAATTTATATTCTACCAGCAAAGTATGAGAGTTTCAGTTTCTCTACAGCACTGATAACAGCATTGTCATTCTTTTCAGCTTTAGTTATTCTGGTGGGTGTAGTGGGAGCTCAGTGCGATTTTTAAATTGCATTTCCCTGGGGACTAATGAGATTGAGTTCCTTTTCATATGCTTATTAGCTATTTGGATATTCTCTCGTGAAGCACCTGTTTCAAATCTTTTGCCTGTTTTTCCATTGGCTTTTCTGCTTGTTTGTGATTTGTAGGAGTTCGATATACATTTTTTTTCTTTTTTCTTTTTTTTTTTTTTTTGACGGAGTCTCGCTCTGTTACCCAGGCTGGAGTGCAGTGGCGCGATCTCAGCTCACTGCAACCTCTGCCTCTCAGATTCAAGCAATTCTCCTGCCTCAGCCTCCTGAGTAGCTGGGATTACAGATGTGCACCACCACCCCCAGCTAGTTTTTGTATTTTTAATAGAGACGGGTTTTGCCATGTTGGCCAGGCTGGTTTTGAACTCCTGACCTCAGGTAATCTGCTGCCTCGGCCTCCCAAAGTGCTGGGATTACAGGCATAAGCCACCACGCCCAGCCTTGATATACATTTTGATATGAGTCTCCTTATTTATGTATTTATTTATTTATTTTGAGACAGAGTCTTGCTCTGTCACCCAGGCTGGAGTACAGTGGCGTGATCTCAGCTCACTGCAACCTCCATCTCTCAGGTTACTCAAGTAATTCTCCTGCCTCAGCCTCCCAAGTAGTTGGAATTACAGGCACACGCAACCATGCCCAGCTAATTTTTTTTTTTTTTTTTTTTTTTTTTTTTGGTAGAGATGGGGTTTCACCATGTTGGTCAGGCTGGTCTCGAACTCCTAACCTCAAGTGACCCACCTGCCTCAGCCTCCCAAAGTGCTGGGATTACAGGCATGAGCCACCACGCCCAGAGTCTCCTTTTTGGATGTATGTGTTGCAAATGTCCTCTTACTCAATGGCTTGCTTTATTTTTTTAACACATCTTTCGATGCACAAAAACTCTTAATTTTAATGTAGTCCAACTTATTGACCTGAGAAAAGAAAAATAGCTCAGAACAGTCTGAGCTATGTGAAATTGTATACAAAATTGATCAGGCCCAGAGAGACTTGAGTATGGGACTTCAGTCACAGCTCCCCAGGCCCTCCCACATTCAGGCCTGGGGCACCTGTTTAAAGGCCTTTTTTTTTTTTTTTTTTCCTTATCTGTTATCTTCATGTCCTGGAATTCCTGATACAAAAAAAATCAATGGATAGCCAATCAATAGCTTATATTATTTTAATGTAAATTCTTGGTAGACCATTTAGGGACTGCTTCTCCTTTTTTCCTTTAAAAACCCATCTGTAAATATTGCTAATTGGAGCATTTATTCAGGGCAACTTGAATCTGTGCTCCCAGGTTGCAGTCCTCAACTTGGCCCAAATAAACTCTCTATTTGTATAAATGATTTTCCCTCAGTTTTTTCCTCTAGGTCGACATATCTTTTGTTTATTTGTTTGTTTGTTTGTTTTTTGAGATGGAGTCTTGCTCTGTTGCCCAGGCTGGAGTGCAGTGGCATGATCTCAGCTCACTGCAACCTCTGCCTCCCAGGTTCAAGTGATTCTCCTGTCTCAGCCTCCAGAATAGCTGGAATTACAGGCATTTGTCACCACGCCCAGCTAATTTTTATATTTTTAGTAGAGACAGGGTTTCACCATGTTGGCCAGGCTGGTCTCAAACTCCTGACCTCAGGCGATCCACCTGTCTTGGCCTCCCAAAGTGCTGGGATTACAGGTGTGAGCCACCACGCTCTGTCAACATATCTTTTATGTTTATTATTTCTATGTCCTATGTAATAAATCTTTTCCTATCCCAAGATTGTGAAAGTATTCTCCTATAGTATCTTCTAGAAGACTTATGCCTTTTTGAAAACTCCTATAGGCCGGGCGTGGTGGCTCACACCTGTAATCCCAACACTTTGGGAGGCCGAGGTGGGCGGATCACGAGGTCAGGAGATCGAGACCATCCTAGCTAACACAGTGGAACCCCATCTGTACTAAAAACACAAAAAATTAGCCGGGCGTGGTGGCATGTGCCTGAAGTCCCAGCTACTCGGGAGGCTGAGGCAGGAGAATCGCTTGAACCCAGGAGGTGGAGTTGCAGTGAGCCAAGATTTCGCCATTGCACTCCAGCCTGGGCAACAGAGTGAGACTCTGTCTCAAAACAAACAAACAAACAAACAAACAAAAAACTTCTATAGTATCTTCCTAAAGTACAGAAGCTTTAGGCTTTTTTAAAACTTTTACAATGATACCTATAATTAATCTAGAATTGATTTGTATCCACCCTGATTTCAGGTATGTTTAAATGTGAAAAACAATGTGTTCTCAAGAATTGATAAAAGTTATTTTTTTAGCCCTCATCTGTTACTTAACACTTTAGGGCATTTTTCTTTGCCATTAAATATTCTTCTACAACATATTTTTAAATTGTAAATTGGCAAATTACCATTGTATATGCTATGGGTTACAAAGTGATGTTATGGGCTGGGCACCAGTAACTTAAGCACTTTGGGAGGCCAAGGTGGGAGGATTGCTTGAGTTCAGGAATTCAAGACTAGCCTGGGCAATATTGTGAAACCCCCATCTCTTAAAAAAAAAAAACAAAAACCAAAGTGATGTTATGATTTATGAATACAATGTAGAAAAATTAAATCAAGCTAATTAACATATCTGTTACCTCAAATTCTTATAATTTTTGTAGTGAGAACATTTGAGATTTACACTTAGTGACTTTGAAATGTACAGCACATTATTATTTACTATATTCACCATGCTGTGCAATATATCTCAAAGAAAAAAACTTATTCCTCCTGTCTAATTGAGGATTTGTACCCTTTGACTATCATTTCTCCCAAGGTTTTGTTTTGTTTTGTTTTGTTTTTTTACTAGCAGCCTAATAGTCCATTATATTCCTCTCACTGGAGCAGGGGCTCTGGAATCAGTCAGGTTAATATTCTGTCCTCACCTCTTAGGAACTATGTAACTTTTACCTTTTTTTTTGAGACGGAGTTTCACTCTTGTTGCCCAGGCTGGAGTGCAATGGCGCGATCTCGGCTCACCACAACCTCCGCCTCCCAGGTTCAAGCGATTTCCTGCCTCAGCCTCCTGAGTAGCTGGGATTACAGGCATGCACCACCACGCTTGGCTAATTTTGCATTTTTAGGAGAGACAAGGTATCTCCGTGTTGGTCAGGCTGTTCTCTAACTCTTGACCTCAGGTGATCTGCCCGCCTCAGCCTCCCAAAGTGCTGGGATTACAGGCATGAGCCACCGCACGTGGCTGAACTATGTAACTTTTGACAATAATTTTACTCTCTAGGCTTTAGCTCTTATGGGAGATGGCCAGGTCTTGAACTGAGTTAGTTTCATAGTTGGATCTCAACCCCTAATTGATTGAGTTAGAAGCCCTACATCAACTGAAATAGTGGATCATTAACTCTAGAACAGTCTTATTTACTCATAAAAGTCTCCTAAAGACCTAGGATAGGTCACATTTTGAGAGTCCACAGTTTTATCTACTGTGACTAAGAACAATAAAACTACATGAAACAATGCCCTGTGGTGTTTAAAAGCTGTAGTCAGGGTTGGCAGCATGAAGGAGTGGCAATTGAACCACTTAATTAAATTCCCTTATCAGATGATCAGATTATTGTTTATCAGTAGAGCTAGTGATTAAGTGAGGCCTCCAACCTTGTCCTAGCTGGTTGCCTTGGGAGAGTTTCCAGACTTCTCCGTGGCTCACTTTATCATCATCTGTAAAATGGGTAGAGTAACAGCTTAGTACCAACCTCATAGTAATGTGCTGGTTAAAATATACTCAGCTGGCTGGGTGCGGTGGTTCATGCCTGTAATCCCAGCACTTTGGGAGGCCAAGACGGGTAGATCACCTGAAGTCAGTAGTTTAAGACCAGCATGGCCAACATGGTGAAACCCCGTCTCTACTAAAAATACAAAAATTAGCCAAGCGTAGTGATGCACACCTGTAATCCCAGCTATTCGGGAGGCTGAGGCAGAAGAATTGCTTGAACCCAGGAGGTGGAGGTTGCAGTGAGCTGAGATAGCACCATTGCACTCCAGCCTGGGCAACAAGAGCGAAACTCCGTCTCAAAAAATAATAGTAATAAATAAATAGTACTCAGCTGGCTGGGTGTGGTGGCTCATGCCTATAATCCCAGCACTTTGGGAGGCCAAGGAGGGTGGATCACTTGAGCTCGGCAGTTCAAGACCAGCCTGGCCAACATGGTGAAACCTTCTCTACTAAAAATACTAAAATTAGCCTGGCATGGTGCCATGTGCCTGTAATCCCAGCTACTGGGGAGGCTGAGGCAGGAAAATTGCTTGAACTTGGGAGGTGGAGGTTGCAGTGAGCTGAGACTGCACAACTGCACTGCAGTCCAGCCTGGGCGGCAGAATACAATTGTGTCTCAAAAAAAACAAAAAACAAAAAACAAAACTCAACTGAAGATGGACGCAACATGTGATAAGTGATGAATAATGGCCACCATCATTCTCATCTCTGGCTGGGGTAGGACTAGTGAGATCGGGACGTGTAAGGTAGCTCACTCAGATATTGGGTTAGGGAGACCCAAAAAACTGCAGTGGAACTCAGGCGCTGTTCATGTGGGGCAGATGGCTAATACTGAAACTCACAAGAAATGGCTAACAACAAACTTCCTAGAAATCAGTTTGTTTGGGCCAGGTGCAGTGGCTCACGCCTGTAATCCCAGCACTTTGCAAGGCCAGGGTTGGTGGATCACATGAGGTCAGGAGTTCAAGACCAGCCTGGCCAACATGGTGAAACCCCATCTCTATTAAAAAATACAAAAATTAGCCAGGGATGGTGGCACGTGCCTGTAATCCCAGCTACTTGGTAGGCTAAGGCAAGAGAATCACTTGAACCCAGGAGGCGGAGGTTGCACTGAGCCAAAAAGGCTCCACTGCCCTCCAGCCTGGGTGACAGAGCAAGATTCCGTCTCGGGGGAAAAAAAAAGAAAGAAATCAGTTTGTCCAATGAGGTGCTGGCAAATGTTTAACAACCAGCTCCAGTGCGGGGGGTGTGTGTGTGTGTATGTGTGTGTGTGTGTTTGCTAACTTGTAGCATTTGCTGATTTCGGTAGTGTAAATATTTCCACCATGGCCAATTTCAAACTACCAACACAGCATCACTGAACAGAGTTGTATATTTCCATCTATAATATTTCCACCATATAGATGCAACAGACATAAATGTCCTCAAATGCATAGATACTAGTAAAATATAGTAAAATAATTAGAAAGTGATGAGTTTGAGTCTTTTAATATAATCATAAGTTTATATAACTTAATTTTTAATAATGGCTATGTGTAACAACTGGCTTGCAAAATTCTTGAGAATTTAACAGTTGGCTCTCATGAGCCTGTACAAGCTGGCTCCAGACACCACTCCAGCCACCCCATGTCTCCTTTTGGATCTTGTGGAGTATAGCCCAGGACGTGGCAACTGCACAAGAGCTTAGGGCAGCTTCAATATCCTTCTTAGGGACTCCTTCCTCTGGCAATTGTGTCCCCCTCCTGGAGGACACAGCCCCAGAGGTGACCTTTTCCCTTCCAGGCTCCAAGCTGTTTAACATTCTCATCCACCAGCACCTCCCCCCACTGCAGGGCGGCTATTTCAGGAATGCCGGGACGTGCACGTAGGGCATCCTGGCCAGCCACTTGCTGGCCAGCCACTTGCCGAATGCACCCTGTCAGGTGCTCACAAGGTCGTCCAGATGGCTAGAAAGAGAGCAGCAGCCTTAGGAAGGGGCTGCCTGCTCCTAGGCTCACAGCCCCTTGATACTTGCATTCTCTAATTAGGAATGCCTTGGCCAACAGACCCTAGAAGTCCACTGCCCTCGTGTATTTCAAAACCTGGATCCAAACTACCATTTCTTAGTTTCATCTCACTTCTGCCCATTGCTTCTCTACCCCTGCAAGTGACAACAGAGACAGTCATAAATAATGTTGGCAACTTCACGCACGGAGTGCTTGCTCTAGAATTATCCTATTTAATCCTCATAACAACCCTATGAAGTAGGTACTATTTTTATCCCAGTTCTGTAGATGAGAAGTCCAAGACTTGGGGTGGTATGTTAACTTGCCCACAGTCATATAGAAGGACTGTCTGGGGAACCCAAGTGTCTTAATCAGTGTTTTTTCTTTTACTTTTTTTTTTTTTTTTTTTGAGATGGAGTTTTGCTCCTGTTGCCCAGGCTGGAGTGCAATGGTGCAATCTTAGCTCACTGCAACCTCCACCTCCCAGATTCAAGTGATTCTCCTGCCTCAGCCTCTCAAGTAGCTGGAATTATAGGCACCCGCTACCATGCCCAACAAATTTTTGTATTTTTATTTTATTTTATTTTATTTTGAGACACAGTCTCGCTCTGTTGCCCAGGCTGGAGTGCAGTGGTGTGATCTTGGCTCCCTGCAAGCTCCTCCTCCCAGGTTCACGCCATTCTCCTGCCTCAGCCTCCCAAGTAGCTGGGACTACAGGTGCCCGCCACCACGCCTGGCTAATTTTTTGTATTTTTAGTAGAGACGGGATTTCACCGCGTTAGCCAGGATGGTCTTGATCTCCTGACCTCATGTTCCGCCCGCCTCGGCCTTTCAAAGTGCTGGGATTACAGGTCAGCCACCGCGCCCGGCCAAATTTTTGTATTTTTAGTAGAGACAGAGTTTCACCATGTTGGCCAGGCTGGTCTCAAACTCCTGACCTCAACCTCAGGTGATCTACCTACCTTGGCATCCCAAAGTGTTGGGATTACAGGCATGAGCCACCGTGCCTGGCCCTTTTTTTTTTTTTTTAGATGGAATTTTCGCTCTTTTGTTGCCCAGGCTGGAGTGCCGCGTCGCGATCTTGACTCACTGCAATCTCCACCTCCCAGGTTCAAGCGGTTCTCCTGCCTCAGCCTGCTAAGTGGCTGGGATTACAGGCACACACCACCACACCCAGCTATTTTTTTTTTTTTTGTATTTTTAGTAGAGATGGGGTTTCACCATGTTGGCCAGGCTGGTCTCAAACTCCTGACCTTGTGATCGGCCCACCTCAGACCCCCAAAGTACTGCGATTACAGGTGGGAGCCACTGCACCCGGCCTATCAGTGTTTTTTCTTTTTCCTTCAACTGTCTTTCTTTACACAGTATCCTTGTTCCACACGTGATTATTTTGCATCTTTGACATGTTGCTTATTACTAAACATTCTCAGCACAGAGGCAGTAGTAGAAGCCATGAGTCTGATAAGTTTGCTGAAGGAGAGAGTGTGCTATGAGGACGGATCGTTGACAAGACCCTGGAGGACACAAGGACCTAAGAGCCCCTAAGAGGAGACAGAGAAGGTGCTGTCCCACAAAGTGCAAGATGTCCCAGGAGAGAGGTGTCCAGGGGATGACTGTGCGGGGGAAGCTCCGAAGTGGACAAGTCAACGAGCACCGGAAGGTGTCCCAGGGATCTGGCAATCAAGAGGCCATCAGTGAGCCAGGCAGGGTCTGTTTCTTCATTTCTTTGCCAGTGGGTGAGGAGGCTGTAGCAGGGAAGGCAGGAGACCCCATAGGTGGGTGGAGGAAAGGCAGGGAGGTCACAAAGTAGGGCCAGCCAGTGTAGACTTCCCTTCCAAGAAGGAGAAAGACGGAGAGAGACACTAGGTGGAAGAAGGGCTTTTGGGATTTGGGTTTTAGTTTTAGCTTTTTGTTTTTGTTTTTGTTTTTTAAAAAACACAGTTTCGGCAGGGCGCGGTGGCTCACGCCTGTAATCCCAGCACTTTGGGACGCCAAGGCGGGGAGATCACAAGGTCAGGAGATCAAGACTACCCCGGCCAACATGGTGAAACCCCATCTCTACTAAAATAAAATAAAATAAATTAGCCAGGAGTGGTGGTGCATGCCTGTAGTCCCAGCTACTCGGGAAACTGAGGCAGGGGAATTGTTTGAACCTGGGAGGCAGAGGTTGCAGTGAGCCGAGATCCTGCCACTGCACTCCAGCCTGGCAACACAGCGAGACTCCGTCTCAAAAAAAAACAAACAAACAAAAAAAACAAACATAAACACAGTTTCACTCTGTCGCCCAGGCTGGGGTGTAGTGGTACCATCTTGGCTCACTGCAACCTCCACCTCCCAGATTCAAGCAATTCTTGTACCTCAGCCTCCCAAGTAGCTGGGATTACAGGCACATGCCACCATGCCTGGCTATTTTTTGTATTAGTAGAGACGGGGTTTCACCATGTTGGCCAGGCTGGTCTCAAACTCCTGACCTCAAGCGATCCACCTGCCTCAGCCTCCCACAGTGTTGGGATTACAGGCGTGAGCCACTGCGCCCTGCCGAAACTGTGTTTTTTTAAAAACTAAACTAAGGCACCAGGCCTTAGTTTTAGTTTAGTTTTGTTTTAAGCTGGGAATGCCCTTAGCAGATTTCTATGCTGAGGAAAGGGAGCTAGTAGAGGTGAGGCTGAAGATGCTAGCAAGAGGACAGTGATGGCTGACACCATAGATGTAGGGGGATCGAAGTCCCAGACCAGAGAACACTCCCCTGCCCTCCTGGTTTGGTGGGAGCTAGATGGCTCCTGCCTTGTGGCCTGTATTTTCTCGAAGGAGGTGGCAGAGGGTGAGGGAATGAGTAGTTGGGGGACTGAGGATAGTGGAGGAGGCGTGTAACAGCCAGTCTGAGAGGAAAAGAGAAGGGGTTGCCAAGAGAAACAACTGAAATAGGAAGTAATACAGATGCTCCTCGATTCGCAAGGGGCTACAGCCCCATAAACCTGTTGTATGTGGAAAATGCATTTAATGTGGACAGCACAGCAGACAGTCCCCCGACTGATAATGGTTTGATTTCAGATGTTTCAACTTTATGATGGTGTGAAAGCATTACACTTTCAGTAGAAACCATAACCCCATCGTAAGTCATAAGGAGTTCTTTGACTTAGGTTGGGGCTACATCCTAATAAACCAATCACAAAGTTGAAAAATCCAGAATGGAAGCATTGGAAGTTGGAGACCATCTGTACAGGTGCAGTGGGACCATCTCTGCAGGTGTCAGGGCCCCAGCAGCTGAGACTAGACTTGGCAGATGCTGATTATGGGTTCGGTCTGCAGCCCATAACCTTGTCCATTGTCTCCTTTTTTACTGCTTTTGCCACCAGAGAAAGACACTCTCCCTCCAGGTTCTGGGAACCGCTCACCATGGCCCCCCATTTAAAACTCCACGAGGCTGGGCACAATGGCGCACACCTGTAGTCCTAACTACACAGGAGGCTCAAGCAGGAGGATGGCTTGAGCCCAGGAGTTCTGGGCTGTAGTGCACTGTGCCAACCGGGTGTCCACACTATGTTCAGCATTAATATGGTGACCTCCCAGGAGCGGGGGACCAGCAGGTTGCTTAAAGAGGGGTGAACCGACCCAGGTCAGAAATGAAGCAGGTCAAAACTCCTGTGCCGATCAGCAGTGGGATCCTGCCTATGAATAGCCACCACACTCCAGCCTGGACAACATAGTGAGACCCTGCCTCTAAAATAAATAAATAAATAAATAAATGAATAAAGGCTGGGCGCAGTGGCTCACACCTGTCATCCCAGCACTTCAGCCTTTCGACTCTTGGACAACATAGTGGTTTGCCAGGGGCTCCCCAGCCTTTGGCCACAGACTGAAGGCTGCGCTGTCAGCTTCCCTACTTTTGCAGTTCTGGGGACTGAGCCTCTACTGGCTTCTTTGCTCCTCAGCTTGCAGCCAGCCTATCATGGGACTTCACCTAGTGATGGTGTGAGTCAATTCTCCCTAATAAACTCCCTTTCGGCCGCGCACGGTGGCTCATGCCTGTAATCCCAGCACTTTGGGAAGGCGAGGCAGGCAGATCACCTGAGGTCAGAGGTTCAAGACCAGCCTGGCCAACATGGTGAAACCCTGTCTCTACAGAAATACAGAAATTAGTCGGGCATGATGGTGGGTGCCTGTAATCCCAGCTACTTGGAAGGCCAAGGTGGGAGAATCACTTGAACCCAGGAGGTGGAGGTTGCAGTGAGCTGAGATTGCGCCATTGCACTCCAGCCTGGGTGACAGAGTGAGACTCAGTCTGAGAAAAATAAAAAATAATTTAAAAAAAAACTGTTTCATACATACATCTATCCTGTTAGTTCTGTCCCTCTAGAGAACCCTCACTAATCCACTCACTTTCTTAAGATCACTTAACATGCATAGTAACCCCCCATACAAAATAAGGAAGTTAGTCATTTTGCCCAGAACAGAGCAGGACTCCCAGTTCCAGGTCAGTGATTATCCCATTTTGTCACAGGATGTACCACAAGATCCCCTGAGGCTTCCTCTTATTTGATCAAATAGAAAATACACTCTTAGAGGCGGGGCACGGTGGCTCACGCCTGTAATCCCAGCACTTTGGGAGGCAGAAGCAGGCGGATCACGAGGTCAGGAGTTTAAGACCAGCCTGGCCAACATAGTGAAACCCCGTCTCTACTAAAAATATAAAAATTAGCTGGGCATGCTGGTGGGCACCTGTAATCCCTGCTACATGGGAGGCTGAGACAGGAGAATGGCTTGAACCCGGGAGGCGGAGGTTTCAGTGAGCCGAGATCATGCCATTGCACTCCAGCCCGGGTGACAATGCAAGACTCTGTCTCAAAAAACAAAAAAAGAAAATACATTCTTAGAATTGACCTCCCTGTAGTCAACATAGATGGAATTTATTGCAAGCATTGGTCCTTTTCCCTTGAAAAAGATTTGCCTGTTCAATAATTTAGATCTGAGTTTCATTAGGAGGGAAATAGGCTTCCGTTCTGATCTATCAGTAGTGGTTGCATAGGAGCTCACCTGGAAAGAGTTCTGCGATCAACTAGTCAGGCCTGCCAAGGGCCAGGCAGTGGGAGAGTTAAAGCTTGTGTGCTAAACATTGTGCAGTCAGCCCTCAGTATCTGTGGGGGATTGGTTCCAGGACCTTCCTTGGGTGCCAAAATCCATGCATGCTCAAGTCCCTGATATAAAATGGCATAGTATTTGCATATAACTTACCCACATCCTCCCATATACTTTAAATCTCTAGATTTTACACATAATATGTAATACAATCTAAATGCTATGTAAATAGTTTTTATGCTGTATTGTTTGGGAGAGAATGACAAGGAAAAGGGTACGTGTTCAGTACGGCACAATGATTTTTTCAATTTTTTCCAATTTTTTTTTTTCTGGAGACAGAGTCTCACTCTGTCACCCAGCCTGGAGTGCAGTGGCACCAACAATAGTTCACTGCAGCCTTGAACTCCTGAGTTCCAATGATTCTCTTACCTCAGCCTCCCAAGTTGTTGAGACTACAGGAATGCACCACCATGCCTGGCTTTTTTTTTTTTTTTTTGGTAGAGATGGGGTCTTGCTGTGTTGCCCAGATGGGGTCTTGCTATGTTGCCCAAGCTGGTCTCAAACTCTGGGCCTTAAGCGATCCTCCTGCCTCAGCTTCCCAAAGTGCTGACATTACAGGTGTGAGCCACCGTGCATGACCCTTCAAATATGATTTTTCTGTGCTTGGTTGAGTCCATGGATGTAGAATCCACAGATACAGCACCCACAGATACTGTCAGGCCTCTGAGCCCAAGCGAAGCCATCATATCCCGTGTGACCTGCACGTATACATCCAGATGGCCTGAAGCAACTGAAGATCCACAAAAGAAGTGAAAATAGCCTTAACTGATGACATTCCACCATTGTGATTTGTTCCTGCCACACCCTAACTGATACAATATATTCTCCCCTGCCCTTAAGAAGGTAATTTGTGGCCAGGCGTGGTGGCTCAAGCCTGTAATCCCAGCACTTTGGGAGGCCAAGGCAGGCAGATCCCAAGGTCAGGAGATCGAGACCATCCTGGCTAACATGGTGAAACCCCGTCTCTACTAAAAATACAAAAAATTAGCCGGGCGTGGTGGCGGGCGCCTGTAATCCCAGCTACTCAGAAGGCTGAGGCAGGAGAATGGCGTGAACCTGGGGGGCCGAGGTGGCAGTGAGCCGAGATCACGTTACTGCACTCCAGCCTGGGCGACAGAGCAAGACTCTGTCTCAAAAAAAAAAAAAAAAAAAAAAAAAAAGAAGGTACTTTGTAATATTCTCCCCTGCTCTTAAGAATGTACTTTGTATGCCTATCCCTATAAGAACTAATGATAATCCCACCACCCTTTGCTAACTCTTTTTTCAGACTCAGCCCACCTGCACTGAGGTGAAATAAACAGCTTTATTGCTCACACAAAGCCTGTTGGTGGACTCTCTTCACATTGATGCGCGTGACATTTTGTGCTGTGACTTGGATTGGGGGCCCTTCCTTGGGAGATCAATCCCCTGTCCTCCTGCTCTTTGCTCCAGGAGAAAGATCCACCACGACCTTGGGTCTTCGGACCAACCAGCCCAAGGAACATCTCACCAATTTTAAATCGGGTAAGCGGCCTCTTTTTACTCTCTTCTCCAACCTCTCTCACTATCCCTCAACCTCTTTCTCCATTCAGTCTTGGCACCATCCTTCAATCTCTCCCTTCTCTTAATTTCAGTTCCTTTCCTTTTCTGGTAGAGACAGAGGAGACACATTCTATCCGTGAACCCAAAACTCCAGCACCAGTCATGGCCTCGGGAAGACAGTCTTCCCTTGGTGTTTAATCACTGTGGGAATGCCTGCTTGATTATTCACCCATGTTTCAGAGGTGTCTGATCACCGCTGGGAAGCCTGCCTTGATCGTTCACCCTTAGTGGCAAGCACCACTTTCCTGGGGGGCAACACCCCCCACCCCTTCTCTCCATGTCTCCACTCTCTCTTTTCTCTGGGCTTGCCTCCTTCACTATGGGCAACCTTCTACCCTCCATTCCTCCTTCTTCTCCCTTAGCCTGGCAAGAACTTAAAACCTCTTCAACTCACACCTGACCTAAAACCTAAACCCCTTATTTTCTTCTGCAATGCCGCTTAACCCCAACACAAACTCGACAGTGGTTCCAAATAGCCAGAAAATGGCACTTTCGATTTTTCCATCCTACAAGATCTAGATAATTCTTGTCATAAAATGGGCAAATGGTCTGAGATGCCTGATGTCCAGGCATTCTTTTACACATCGGTCCCTCCCTAGTCTCTGTTTCCAATGCTACTCATCCCAAATCCTCCTTCTTTCCCTCCCACCTGTCCCCTCAGTCCCAACCCCAAGTGTCACTGAGTCTTTTCAATCTTCCTTTTCTACTGACCCATCTGACCTCTCCCCTCCTCCCCAAACTGCTCCTCCTCAGGTCTTTCCCTGCCAGGCTGAATCAGGCTCCAATTCTTCCTCAGCCTCCGCTCCCCCATCCTATAATCCTTCTGTCACCTACCCTCCTCACACCCAGTCCAGCTTACAGTTTTGTTCTGCAACTAGCCCTCCCCGACCTGCCCAACAATTTCCTCTTAAAGAGGTGGCTGGAGCTAAAGGCATAGTCAAGGTTAATGCTCCTTTTTCTTTATCTGACCTCTCCCAAATCAGTTAGCGTTTAGGCTCTTTTTCCTCAAATATAAAAACCCAGCCCAGTTCATGGCTCCTTTGGCAGCAACCCTGAGACGCTTTACAGCCCTAGACCCTGAAGGGCCAGGAAGCCGTCTTATTCTCAATATGCATTTTATTACCCAATCCGCTCCCGACGTTAGATAAAGCTCCAAAAATTAGATTCCGGCCCTCAAACCCCACAACAGGACTTAATTAACCTCACCTTCAAGGTATGCAATAATAGAGTAGAGGCAGCCAAGTAGCAAAATATTTCTGAGTTGCAATTCCTTGCCTCCACTGTGAGAGAAACCCCAGCCACATCTCCAGCACACAAGAACTTCAAAATGCCTAAGCCGTAGATGCCTAAGCTGCAGCGGTCAAGCCTTCCTACAGGACCTCCTCCATCAGGACCTTGCTTCAAGTGCCAGAAATCTGGCCACCGGGCCAAGGAATGCCAGCAGCCCAGGATTCCTCCCAAGCTGTGTCCAATCTGTGCAGGGATCCACTGGAAATCAAACCACCCAGCTTGCCCGGCAGCCACTCTTAGAGCCCCTAAAGCTCTGGCCTAAGGCTCTCTGACTGACGCCTTCCCAGATCTTCTTGGCTTCGCAGCTGAAGACTGACACTGCTCAATCACCTCAGAAGCCTCCTGGACCATCACAGACGCTTTGGGTAACTCTTAAAGTGGAGGGTAAGTCAGTCCCCTTCTTAGTCAATATGGAGGCTACACACTCCACATTGCCTTCTTTTCAAGGGCCTGTTTCCCTTGCCTCCATAACTGTTGTGGGTATTGACGGCCAGGCTTCAAAATCCCTTAAAATTCCCCCACTCTGGTGCCAACTTGGACAACATTCTTTTATGCACTCCTTTTGTTATCCCCACCTGCCCAGTTCCTTATTAGGCCAAGACACTTTAAATTATCTGCTTCCCTGACTATTCCTGGGCTACAGCCACACCTCATTGCCGCCCTTTTCCCCAGTTCAAAGCCTCCTTCACATCCTCCCCTTGTACCTCCCCACCTTAATCCACAGGTATAGGACACCTCTACTCCCTCCTCGGCGACCGATCATGCACCCCTTACCATCCCATTAAAACCTAATCACCCTACCTTGCTCAATGCCAATATCCCATCCCACAGCACGCTTTAAAAGGATTAAAGCCTGTTATCACTCACCTGTTACAGCATGGCCTTTTAAAGCCTATAAACTCTCCTTACAATTCCCCTATTTTACCTGTCCAAAAATCAGACAAGTCTTACAAGTTAGTTCAGGATCTGTGCCTTATCAACCAAATTGTTTTGCCTATCCACCCCGTGGTGACGAACTCATATACTCTCCTCCTCAATGCCTCCCTCCACAACCCCTCCACAAGCCATTATTCTGTTCTGGATCTCAAACGTGCTTTCTTTACTATTCCTTTGCGTCCCATCCCAGCCTCTCTTCGCTTTCACTTGGACTGTCCCTGACACTCATCAGGCTCAGCAAGTTTCCTGGGCTGTACTGCCTCAAGGCTTCACGGACAGCCCCCATTACTTCAGTCAAGCCCAAATTCCTTCCTCATCCATTACCTATCTCGGCATAATTCTTCATGAAAACACACATGCTCTCCCTGCTAATGGTGTCCGGTTAAATCTATCCTCAAGGAAATCACTTCTCAGTGTTCCATCTGCTATTCTCCTACTCCTCAGGGATCGTTCAGGCCCCCTCCCCTTCCCTACACGTCAAGCTCAGGGATTTGCCCCCACCTAGGACTGGCAAATTGACTTTGCTCACATGCCCCGAGTCAGGAAACTAAAATACCTCTTGGTCTGGGTAGACGCTTTCACCGGATGGGTAGAGGCCTTTCCCACAGGGTCTGAGAAGGCCACCACAGTCATTTCTTCCCTTCTGTCAGACATAATTCCTCGGTTTGGCCTTCCCATCACTATACAGTCCGATACCGGACCGGCCTTTATTAGTTAAATCACCAAGCAGTTTCTCAGGCTCTTGGTATTCAGTAGTAAAATCTTCATACCCCTTACCGTCCTCAATCTTCAGGAAAGGTAAAACGGACTAATAGTCTTTTAAAGACATACCTCACCAAGCTCAGCCTCCAGCTTCAAAAGGACTGGACAGTACTTTTACCTCTCACCCTTCTCAGAATTAAAGCCTGTCCTCAGGGTGCTAGTAAAGCCCATTTAAGCTCCTGTATGGACAGTCCTTTTTATTAGAGCCCAGTCTCATTCCAGACACCATCCCAACTTGAACTGCACCCCAAAAACTTGTCATCCCTGCTATCTTCTGTCTAGTCATACTCATATTCATTATTTTCAACTACTTGTAAATACCCTGCCCTTGTTTACACTGCCAGTTTACACTTTTCCTCCAAACCATCATAACTGATATCTCCTGGTTTTACCTCAAACCGGCACCATTAAGTCTCTCTCAAAGTGGATAGATCATCTTTGCTGACAGGGTGCACTCCAGTACTTTCACCCTGATGAAGTCCTATTCTTTACTTTTATACTCACTCTTATTCTCGTTCCCGTTCTTATGCCACCCTCTACCTCTCCCCAGCTATCTCCACCACACTATCAATCTCACTCACTCTCTCCTAGCCATTTCTAACCCTTCTTTAACAAACAATTTCTGGCTTTGCATTTCTCTTTCCTCCAAAATTGTGGAGGCCTCGACTTACTCACTGCTAAAAAAAAAATTAAAAAAAGACTCCATATATTTTTAAATAAAGTGTTTTTTTTGTTTTTGTTTTACCTAAATCAATCTGGCCTGGTATACAACATAAAAAAACTCAAGGATAGAGCCCAAAAACTCGCCAACCAAGCAAATAATTATGCTGAACCCCCTTGGGCACTCTCTAATTGGATGTCCTGGGTCCTCCCAATTCTTAGTCCTTTAATACCTGTTTTTCTCTTCCTCTTATTCGGACCTTGTGTCTTCTGTTTAGTTTCTCAATTCATAAAAAACCGCTTCCAGGCCATCACCAATCATTCTATACGACAAATGCTCCTTCTAACAACCCCACAACATCACCCCTTACCCCAAAATCTTTCTTCAGTTTAATCTCTCCCATTCTGGATTCCCATGCTGCCCCTAATCCCGCTCGAAGCAGCCCTGAGAAACATCTTCCATTATCTCTCCATACCACCCCCAAAAATTTTCGCCGCCCCAACACTTCACCACTATTTTGTTTTGTTTTTCTTATTAATATAAGAAGACAGGAATGTCAGGCCTCTGAGCCCAAGCGAAGCCATCATATCCCCTGTGCCCTCCACATATACATCCAGATGGCCTGAAGCAACTGAAGATCCACAAAGGAAGTGAAAATAGCTTAACTGATGACATTCCACCATTGTGATTTGTTCCTGCCCCACCCCAACTGATATGATATGTTCTCCCCCGCCCTTAAGAAGGTACTTTGTAATATTCTCCCCCGCCCTTAAGAAGGTACTTTGTACACCTATCCCAAACCTACAAGAACTAATGATAATCCCACCATCCTTTGCTGACTCCTTTTTCGGACTCAGCCCGCCTGCACGCAGGTGAAATAAACGCCTTGTTGCTCACACAAAGCCTGTTGGTGGACTCTCTTCACACGGACACGCATGACAGATACAGCACCCACAGATACAGAGGGCCAACTGTATTTTCCCAGGCTGGTAAGAGGTGGGGTAGGGGATAGAGGTAAGGGTTAGCTTTGCAGATTGGAAAGGAAAGAGATTCTGCAGAAGTCTTATTGGTTTTTCAACCTCTTTTCTGAGTAGTTTAGAGTGGGGTGGTTGCTGGTTGAGAAGGTTTATGTCTGTTTGGCAGAGTCATGGTGGAAGGTATCCAGAAGAGAGAAGTACACACGGCAGCTCTTGGAGTTTTGACACCCCCTCCCCGCCAATCCAGGGCACTGTTAGCAGGGCAGTTACGAAGACTCTTGGGCCAGGCTGCCTCTTGGCACTCAGGCCTGAAGAGGTGGGGAGAGCAATGACCTGTAGAAGTGGCCTGGCAGGAGGAATGCTGAGTTTGTCTTTCTGCCAGAGGCAGACACAGGATGTACTAATTGCAGCCTGGTCCTCTGCTCTAGGTACAAATGGATTTAGATCTTATGGAGTCTGAAGCTTTTAGTTGGATTGGCAGGATAAGGGAGTCCTTTTTAAGAAAGTAATGCGAATTAGGTACTGACCCTTGGAAAGGGCCTATGCAAGTGAAGGGGCCCTGGAGCTCAAGCTTCAGAAAAGGATACATGCAAGAAGAAAATAAAACAGGATGGCCGGGCGCTGTGGCTCACACCTATAATCCTAGCACTTTGGGAGGCTGAGGCAGGAGGATTGCCTCAGCTCAGGAGTTCCAGACCAGCCTGGGCAACATGGCAAAACCATGTCTCCACTAAATATACAAAAAATTAGCCGGGTGTAGTGGCGCACACCAGCTACTCAAGAGGCTGAAGCACAAGAATCGCTTGACCCTGGGAGGTGGAGGTTGCAGTGAGCAGAGATCGCACCACTGTACTCCAGCTTGAGTGACAGGGCAAGACCCTGTCTCAAAAAAAAGAAAAGCATATTTGTTATGGCCAATGATGTAATCAATCATGACCAGGAATCACCCACAAAACGCAAAAGGACAGTGTTCAGAGAGCTTCCAGGTAGGTGAACAAGAAGACTTCCATCTGCTGGGAGGGTGGTTCACCCCAACTCCACAGAGATGGAAGCTCCTGTGCTGAGACCAGCTCGGTCGGGGAGATCCTAACCCAGCGGCGTTAGAGGAATTAAAGACACACACACACAGAAATATAGAGTGCAGAGTGGGAAATCAGGGGCCTCACAGCCTTCGGAGCTGAGAACGCTGAACAGAAATCTACCCACGATTTATTGACAGCAAGCCAGTGATAAGCATTATTTCTGTAGATTATAGATTACCTAAAACTATTCCTTATGGGAAACAAAGAGATGGGCGGAAACAAAGGGATGGGCTCTGGCTAGTTATCTGCAGCAGGAACATGTCCTTAAGGCACAGATCACTCATGCTGCTGTTTGTGGTTTAGGTACGCCTTTAAGCGGTTTTCCGCCCTGGGTGGGCCAGGTGTTCCTTGCTCTCATTCCGGTAAACCCACAACCTTCAGTGTGGGCGTCGTGGCCATCACGAACATGTCACAGTGCTGCAGAGACTTTGTTTATGGCCAGTTTTGGGGCCAGTTTATGGCCAGATTTTGGAGGCCTATTCCCAACACTCCTGTGCTCAGGACCCTTCCAGAGCTCACCCCCTGTATCTCCAGGTAGATCATGTCAGAATTGAATTGAATTATGGGAATCCCAACTGGTGTCTGCTGCAGAATTACTAGTTGTATGGAGAAAAAAAGCCCAAACGTTTGGCATTAGAAGTGTTGTGTTGGCTAGGTGTGGTGACTCACGCCTGTAGTCCCAAAACTTTCGGAGGCTGAGGCAGGAGAATCACTTGAGCCTAGGGGTTCGAGACCTGCCTAGGCAACATAACAATACCCCATCTCTACAATAAATAAAAAATATACTGGCATGGTGCACACCTGTAGTCCTAGCTACTCAGGAGACTGAGGTAGGAGGATCACTTGAGCCCAGGAGTTCAAGGCTGCAGTAAGTCGAGATCGTGCCACTGCACTCCAGCATGAGCAACAGAGATCCCATCTCAAAAACAAACAACAACAATAAAAAACTTTATCTGAAGAATGCAAGTCCCAGGCCAGGCGCAGTGGCTCACGCCTGTAATACCAGCACTTTGGGAGGCCAAGGTGGGTGGATCACAAGGTCAGGAGTTCAAGACCAGCCTGGCCAACATAATGAAACCCTGTCTCTACTAAAAATACAAAAAATTAGCTGGGCGTGGTGGCGGGTGCCTGTAATCCCAGCTACTTGGGAGGCTGAGGCAAGAGAATGGCTTTGACCCGGGAGGCAGAGGTTGCAGTGAGCCGAGATCACACCATTGCCCTCCAGCCTGGGTGACAGAACGAGACTCCATCTCAAAAAAAAAAAAAAAAAAAAAAAAGGATGCAAGTCCCCCTTTCGTTATCAGGCCCAGAGAATCTTTGAAATGCAACAGCAGGTTGGGCGCAGTGGCTCACACCTGTAATCCCAGCACTTTGGGAGGCCCAGGTGGGCAGATCACAAGGTCAGAAGTTCGAGACCAGCCTGGCCAACATGGTGAAACCCTGTCTCTACTAAAAATACAAAAAATTAGCTGTGCATGGTGTACCTGTAATCCCAGCTACTCGGGAGGCTGAGGCAGGAGAATCACTTGAACCCCGGAGGCAGAGGTTGCAGTGAGCCGAGATCGTACCACTGCACTCCAGCCTGGGTGACAGAGCGAGAGAGCGAGACTCTGTCTCAAAAAAAAAAAAAAAATTAGCTGGGCGTACTGGTGCACACGCCTGTAATCCCAACTACTCAGGAGGCTGAGGCAGGAGAATTGCTTGAGCCAAGATTGCACCACTGCACTCCAGCCTGGGCAACAGAGTAAGACTCTGTCTCAAAAAAGAAATGCAACAGCATATGACAGCAGTCACATCTCACCCGCCCCCGACCACCAAGCTAAATAATTACCTCTTGAAGCCACTTGCTATATGGGCTCTAGACTAACTGACACCACCACATAGCCATAAAATGCCATATTCCAGACACTATAACTCATACCCCATAGCTCAACAATGCATAGCCAATCACAAGCCAATGTTATTCCTGCAAACTAATAAGAACATTGTTGAATCACCCACTCCTTGTCCCCTTTTGCCTTTAAAGGCCTGCTTGTAACAAAAGCCGAACACACAGCGTACCCCAAGGCAACTTGAAGTGTGTCCCCAATGGCTGTCCTCACTCTTGGCCCAAATTAACCCTGTATATTGATTTTGCCTCAGCTTCTTTCTCTCGGTCAACACTAGAATGTCCAACAGCCAGTTTGGGGTGGATGGGAGGGCGAGCCCTCTGAGCACCTGCCCTGTTCGTGCTCTGAGTGGGTCTCAGCGGCCGGACGGCTTGCTCTCCCCTCGGGCCGTGAAGTCCTCAGCCTCCCAAAGTCTGACGTCCTTGGAAATATTTGAGGTCCTCCAGACTCCAGCAGCAAGCTTGTGGCAGGAGCGGCAGGGGGATGAAGGAACTGGACTGTGGGAAGTGCCTAATGAGTCAGCCAACTCTGTGGAGGGGAGGGAAGGAAACATGCCGTGTTAAGAGGATCTGCAAGCCAGGGACGGGTGGGGAGTGGAGCCCGTGGAGGATGGACAGCTGGACCATGTGAGTTTCCATTGTGTCGGGGGGAACGTGTCACCCAGAGGTCTCTCCAGCAGTCTCCCCACCCCCACCCCTGCAGATTCCACAGGACCAAGGGCTTCCCTGGACAAGGGCCTGGTCCTTGGAGTCTAAGGCAAGACTCCAATCTCCACAGTTGCCCGAGCTCTCTTCCCTGTTTGGGACTTGGGAACGGGAAGATTTGGGAGGTGAAGAGCTGGGACTCCCTTTGGTGGAGAAAGCTTGGGTTTCAGCACTGACTTGGAGAGACCAAAACAAAGGGTTTTTGGCCAGGATAGAGTGATTCTCAGGAGGAAAGGCAGGAAAGCATTTCCCCATATTCAGGTAAGGAGAGAGAGAAAATTAACAAACTGTTGCTGTGGAGGGAGACAAACACCTTGATAAACTCAAGAAGCTGGTTACGGGGATCCCGGCAAACCCGCCGGCGCAGAGCACAGTAGTGGAGAGGCCCGGGGAATCCCAGCAAAAAACACCCCACCGGCTGGGCGCCGCGGCTCACACCTGTAATCCCGGCACTTTGGGAGGCTGAGGTGGGCAGATCACAAGGTCAAGAGTTCTAGACCAGTCTGGCCAACATGGTGAAACTCAGTCTCTACTAAAAATACAAAAATTAGCCGGGTGTGGTGGTGGGTGCCTGTAATCCCAGCTACTTGGGAGACTGAGGCAGGAGAATCTCTTGAACTAGGGAGGCAGAGGTTGCAGTGAGCTGAGATCACACCATTGCACTGCAGCCTGGGTGACAGAGCAAGGCTCCGTCTCAAAAAAAAAAAAAAAGACAAAAAGAAAAACACCCCACCAACCAGCAAACAAAACAACAAAAACCAAGGAGGAACGACCAGGAACAGTGTCTGTAGCCTCAAATGCCTTTATACCAGTGACGGTGACACCACACCGTGGGGCCCTGCCCCCAATCAACTGAAAAATGAGGCAGCGACAGTTGTGGGAAGCCATCAGTGGGAGGAGACCAAAAGACTAGAGTGGTTTTTTTCTGCTTTGTTGAAATACAATTGACAAATAAAAGTATACATATTAAAAGCATACAACGTGATGACTTGGTATATGGACACGTGAGATGATTATGACAATCAAGCTGATTGACACACTCATCACCTCCCATAGTTACCGTTGTTACCCATTTTTTTAAAAAAAACGAGAACACTTTAGAGGTACTCTCAAAAGATTGTTTTGTAAAGTTGTTTTTAAAGGTTGGGATCACCCAGACTCTAATTCAAGTGACCTTATGGGAGCCCGGGAAGACAGGATTGTAAGCAGGTAAAGGAAACCTCCACAATTCTGTTTCTTGGTGAGGAGAAAGCCTGTCTTGAAGGAGGTGTGGAGGAGGCGGGGGCCGGCAGCCAGTTGACGAACAGCCAGAAGGTGGCAGTGTCTACCTGGGGAGGGGCAGTGGGCTGAGCCCCTGGCTGGGGCGAGTCCTTTATCACACCACAGCCAGGGCCAGCTGTGTGCAGCCCCAGATTACTCCTTGACAAGACTCAGTCCCGCCAGGCCCTCCCCGCAGGCCTGTTTTTTATGCTGGTCTGGCCATGAGGTAAGGCTGGATAGGGACAAAGTGCCCGAGCATGACAGCTGCCCAGGCTGGGCCCAGTTGCACAGCTTGGGTGGCCCTAGCCTTCGAGCTCTAAATCGAGTCTCCTCCTACTCCTAGCCCATGGCAGTCGGGCCCCGGACATTCTCCTCACTGCTTCCAGGATTCTAGAGGGCTTTCCAGTGCCCCTGGCCCCAGTCCTGCAGTGTTGACCTCCTGAGTCCCTGCCTCTCACTTCCCGGTGATGTCCCTCTGCTCTGTGCCCATCCTAGAAAAAAAAAAAAAAAAAGCCCTCTTTCTATGCTTTCTTTTTTCTTTCTTTTCTTTCTTTCTTTTTTTTTTTTAATGAGACAGTCTTTTTCTGTCACCCAGACTGGAGTGCAGTGACGTGATCTCAGCTCACTGTAACCTCTGCCTCCCAGGTTCAAGCGATTCTCCTGTCTCAGCCTCCCGAGTAGCTGGGACTACAGACACCCGCCACCACACCCGGCTAATTTTTGTATTTCTGGTAGAGATGGGGTTTCACCATGTTGATCAGGCTGGTCTTGAACTTTTGACCTCGTGATCCACCCACCTTGGCCTCCCAAAGTGCTGGGATTACAGGCGTGAGCCACAACGCCCGGCTTTTTCGTATTTTTAATGGAGATGCGGTTTCACCATGTTGGCCAGGCTGGTCTCAAACTCCTGACCTCAGGTGACCCACCCGCCTCAGCCTCCCAAAGTGAAAGTGCTGGGATTACAGGTGTGAGCCACCGTGCCCGGCCTTTCTATGCTTTCTTGTCACATGAGCTACAGCTTTTACTGAAGGCTTGGGCAATAGAGGGGTGTACTGGGGTGTACTTAGTAGGAAAACAAACCATTTCAAAAAGAATAGTACAGATCCTGTTCTTAAAAGTCCTTTGAGGTCTGGCATGGTGGCTCATGCCTGTAATCCCAACACTTTGGGAGGCCAAGACAGGCAGATCACAAGGACAAGAGTTCGAGACCAGCCTGGCCAACATGGTGAAACCCCGTCTTTACTAAAAATTAAAGAATTAGCCGGGGGTGGTGGCATGCGCCCGTAGTCCCAGCTACTCAGGAGGCTGAGGCAGGAGAATTGCTTGAACCTGGGAGGCAGAAGCTGTAGTGAGCTGAGATCGCACCACTGTACTCCAGCCTGGGCCACAGAGCAAGACTCCATCACCAAAAAAAAAAAAAGAAAAGAAAAAAAAAAAGTCCTTCGAGGCTGGGTGCAGTGGCTCACTCCTGTGATCCCAACACTTTGGGAGGCTGAGGCGGGCGGATCACCTGAGGTTGGGAGTTCAAGACCAACATGACCAACATCGAGAAACTCCATCTTACTAAAAATACAAAATTAGCTGGGTGTGGCAGCACATGCCCGTAATCCGAGCTACTCGGGAGGCTGAGGTAGGAGAATCACTTGAACCCAGAGGCGGAGGTTGCAGTGAGCTGAGATCACGCCATTGCACTCCAGCCTGGGCAACAAGAGTCTCAAAAAAAAAAAAAAAGCCCTTTGGTCTCCCCGCCACTGTGAAATTCTCAGTGGACACATACCTCCCAGGCTCTGCCCTTGCCATTTTGTTT
Organism: Homo sapiens; assembly: GCF_000001405.40. Lineage (NCBI taxonomy): Eukaryota > Metazoa > Chordata > Mammalia > Primates > Hominidae > Homo > Homo sapiens. The sequence continues at coordinate 90,145,079 of NC_000015.10, forward strand.
TCTCCCTCCCTCCTCCCTCCTTCACCCTTCATTTCTATGACCATCTTTCCATTTCTTCTTCTCTTTTGGGGTCCCTCGCCCCCAAGTTCCGGTTAACGTTCTCTGTAAAGCCGTTTGATTCCTCCTGTGTTTAAACATCTTCCTTCAACTATGTCCTTAGCACCTCCCCTTCCTCAACAAAAGTGGCTATCAAGATATTTTCCTAAACAAAAACCGGTCTCACCCTGCTAAATGCATTGGAAACTTACCACCTGGTGTATATATTGGCCTCCTGAGCAATTGATTAGTCTGAGTCCACAGCTGGGACCTGGCTCTCCTCTCCACCAGCTGCCAGGCGGAGGGCAGACCCAGGGCCCCAGGGGTGAATTTGTCAGGGCAAAGGCCTCTGTGGGCAGCCTCTTGGCAGCCTGCCAGTAGCCCCTTCTGGCAGCGTCCCACCTCTCCCGGCATCACAGATCAAGCCTCAGAAGAGCAGGGCCTAAGGAGAAAACCCGAGAGTGACGATGGCAAAGAGTGATCACAACACCCCAGGTGGGTGGACTCCGGGGGAACGCAGAGGTACTCGGGCCCAGAGCTGGTGGGAGAGGGGAGGTGATGGGAAACTGGACACCCAGAAAGTCCCACCAGCATGGAAATCCACTGGGGGGCTCAGCACCCCTGGAGAGGCACTGGGAGTTGGGAGGATCAAAGGAAAGACAGGGCTCTCACTGCCGGTGAATAGGACAAGCTGGGAAGGAAACAGACAATGCTTTCCAGGTTGGATTGCCAAGGCAGAGAGGCAAGAGAGGGGATGGAGAGAAGTCTTCAAAACTGCCATTCAAGGCCAGGCACAGTGGCTCTCCACCTGTAATCCCAACACTTTGGGAAGTTGAGGCAGGAGGATCGCTTGAGCCTAGGAGTTTGCGACCAGCCTGGGCAACATAGCAAGACCCCGTCTCTAAAAAAGTAGAAAACTTAGCAGGACATGGTGGTGTATGCCTATAGTCAGAGCTATTCAGAAGGCTGAGGTGAGAGGACTGTGTGAGCCCAGAACATCTAGGCTGCAGTGAGCTGACATCACACCACTACACTCATTCAGCCTGGACGACAAAGTGAGACCCTGTCACAAAAAAAGAAAAAAAAAAAAAACAGGCCAGGCATGGTTGCTCATGCTCATAATCCTAGCACTTTGGGAGTTTAAGGCAGGCAGATTGCCTGAGTTCAGTAGTTTGAGACCAGCCTGGCCAACATGGTGAAACCCGGTCTCTACTAAAAATACAAAAATTAGCCAGGCATGGTGGGGAGCACCTGTAATCCCAGCTACTCAGGAGGCTGAGGCATGAGAATCACTTGAACCTGGGAGGCGGAGGTTGCAGTGAGCTGAGATCGCACCACCGCACTCCAGCCTGGGTGAAAGAACTAGACTCCATTTCAAAACAAAACAAAAACCAAAAAACTGCTCTTCAATAAGCCCTTACCACGTGTCAGGCACTGAACACTGACAGCAGCTAACAATTACACTGACTTACTCCACACCAGGCTTGTTCTAAGCAGCTGCTGTCCAATAAACACATAATGCAAGCCACATAGGTAGTTTTGTTGTTGTTGTTAATGTTTGTTTTTGGGTTTTTTTTGAGATGGAGTTTCACTCTTGTTGCCCAGGCTGGAGTGCAATAGTGTGATCTTGGCTCACCGCAACCTCCGCCTCCCGGGTTCAAGTGACTCTCCTGCCTCAGCCTCCCGAGTAGCTGGGATTACAGGCATGTGCCACCATGCCCGGCTAATTTTGTATTTTTAGTGGAGATGGGGTTTCTCCATGTTGGTCAGGCTGGTCTCAAACTCCAGACCTCAGGTGATCCGCCCGCCTCGGCCTCCCAAAGTGCTAGGATTACAGGCGTGAGCCACTGCGCCTGGCCTAGTAGTTGTTTTTTAATTTATTAATTTACTTTTCACCATGGCAGAAAAGAGCGTAGTTTTAAAAACTCTAGTAGCTGCATTTTTAAAAGTAAAAACAAAAAACCCACTGGTGAAATTAATTGTAATAATATATTCTATTTAGACTGAGTGTGGTGGCTCACTCCTGTCCTCCCAGCAGTTTGGGAGGCTGAGGCAGGCAGATCACTTGAGGTCAGAAGTTCAAGACCAGCCTGGCCAATATGGGGAAAGCCCGTCTCTACCAAAAATACAAAAATTAGCCAGGCGTGATGGCATACGCCTGTAATCCCAGCTACTCAGGAGGCTGAGGCAGAAGAACCGGTTGAAGCCTGGAGGTGGAGGTTGCAGTGAGCCGAGATGGTGCCACTACACTCCAGCCTGGAGGTGGAGGTTGCAGTGAGCCGAGATGGTGCCACTACACTCCAGCCTGGGCAACAGAGTGAGACTCCATCTCAAAAACAAACAAACAAATAATATATTCTATGTATTACAATATATTCTATGTAACCCAATATAATCAATAATTAGGGAGTTATTTTACTTTTTTTTGAGACAGGGTCTCACTCTGTTGCCTAGACTGGAGTGTGGCACGATCACAACTCACTACATCCTTGACCTCCCCTAGGCTCAGGTGATCCTTCCACCTCAGCCTCCCGAGTAGTTGGGACTATAGGCGCGTACCACCAGGCCCTGATAATGTTTTGTATTTTTTGTAAAGATGGGGTTTCACGATGTTGCCCAGGCTGGTCTCAAACTCCTGGACTCAAACAATCCACCCACCTCAGCCTCCCAAAGTGCTGGGATTACAGGTATGAGCTATTGCACCTGGCCTTTTTTGTATGAAGTCTTCAAAATCCGATGTGAATTTATGCATACATCACATTTCAGGGTTTTTTTGTTTGTTTTGTTTTTTTGAGACAGGGTCTCACTCTGTCACCCTGGCTGGAGTGCAGTGGCACAATCATGGCTCACTGCAGCTTTGACCTTCTAAACTCAAGCAGTCCTCCTTCCTCAGCCTCCCGAGTAGCTGAGACTACAGGCACATGCCACCACACCAGGCTAATTTTTAAATTTTTTTTTTTTTTTTTGTAGAGACAGGGTCTCACCATGTTGTCCAGGCTGGTCACAAACTCCTGGGCTCAAGCGATCCTCCCGCCTCAGCTTCTCAAACTGTTGGGATTACAGGTGTGAGCCACTGTGCCTGGCCTCCCGACTCAGCCTCCCAAAGTGTTGGGATTACAGGCGCGAGCACCACGCAGGGTACATCTCAGTTTAGACAAACCACGTTTTCTTTTTGTTTTACTTTTTCTTTTTTTTTTTTGAGATGGAGTCTCGCATTGTTACGATCTCAGCTCACTGCAACCTCCGCCTCCCAGGTTCAAGCAATTCTCCTTGCCTCAGCCTCCCAAGTAGCTGGGATAGACAAGCCACATTTCAAGTGCTCAGTAGGTACTGTGGCTGATGGCTACACTATTAGATGCAGCTGTCTAAGTGCTTTAGCTGTGTTAGTCCTCACAACTGTGCTTTTGTTATCCTCATTTTACAGATGAGAAAATTTACACAGAAAGTGCTTCAGCACTTTGCCCATTGCTACCCAGAAAGAAAAGGGCTGAGCTGGAATCTGAGCCACCAAGGTCAGCCAACTGAGGGTCCACAGTCTGGTGTCCTAACAACTGTGCTATGCTGTCAGCTTCACAAATCTCATCTCCCATAGGAGGTCATCAAAAAGCTGCTTGCAGCTGGGTGCAGTGGCTCACACCTGTAATCCCGGCACTTTGGGAGGCCGAGGCAGGCAGACCACTTGAGGTCAGGAGTTCAAGACCAGCCTGGCCAACATGGTGAAACCCCATCTCTACTAAAAATACAAAAATTAGCCAGGTGTGGTGGTGCGTGCCTGTAGTCTCAGCTACTTGGGAGGCTGAAGCAGGAGAATCTGCTTGAACCCTGGAGGCGGAGGTTGCAGCAAGCCAAGATTGCGCCACTGCACTCCAGCCTGGGTGACAGAGCAAGACTCTATCTCAAAAAGAAAGAAAGAAAGAAAGAGAGAGAGAGGAAGGAAGGAAGGAAGGAGGGAAGAAAGAAAGAAAGAAAACAATAATCCAATATATAGGCAAGAGCCCTTACTTCTCTACTACTTACAGTCTAGTGTTCAGAGAATGTAGGAGTGAGCCCAGAGAGCTTCCCAAGCCTACCATGTCGTCACTGCCTACAAGAGTCCCTGAAGATGGCCACACAAAACCCTGGGGCTTACTCATACATGTTCACAGTTTCATTTTCTTATCATATTGGTCAGTTTCATCTACACTGGAACGTGGTTCCACCTATCTTTCTGTTCTCTGATAAGCTTCAGCTCAAGGGGAAACATTTCTGGGGCCACAGGTTCTGTTGCCTGCCTCTGCAAAGAGCACATTACGCAAAGCAGATGTTCTGTGCCCAATTCAGTCTCTGCTATCAGAAAAGCTGTGTTCAGAGCCACATGGAGCCTGCAGCCTCCTGCTTTGCGGGAATGTTTGTGTAAAGGTTCCTGGCTTTCTCTTTGTTTACATCTGACTGTTTACCTTTCAGTCCCATCTCGTCTTCTGCTCAGTGAACAGTTTTTGCACTGGCAGGAGCCAGGTCGAACAGTTCCATAAACTGCTTTTTTATGGTTCTCAGTAGAGCAGAGGTTTGAAATTAGAGAACCTGAATGTTGGCTCAAGGAGGACACAAACTCCCTGAATTAGTGTCCAAATCTATGTGTGTGTGTGTGTGTGTGTGTGTGTGTTTGTGTCTTTCTAGGGGGTGGTTCCTTATTCTCATTGGATTTCCAAAGGGGTCTGGAACCCACAACAGGGTCAGAACACCTGGGTATATGGTGGGCCCCAAGGGGCCACCAAATGGAACGTTCTGCCGTCTGCTCTTTGGAATATTCTTCTGGCCAAGAGCCACCACTTCCCTGACTCCGGCCTTTCTCTTCCCCACTGTCACCAACAGGGGATATAGGCTTTCTATTGGGCACCACTCCTCACTGAGAACTGCTCTCAGGGCTTTCTGAGCCTGTTGGTGTGACTGCGGTGGTGGCAGCTTGCAGGAGAGACACCTCACTCTTTGCTTTGTGGGATCCTCTGCTTGGTCCCTGACTCACAGACTGAAGCTCAAATTCTAGCCACGCACCAAAAAGTGACCGACAGCCGGGCGCGGTGGCTCGTGCCTATAATCCCAGCACTTTGGGAGGCCGAGGCGGGCGTTTCACCATGTTGGCCAGGCTGGTCCCAAACTCCTGACCATTGCATTTGTTTGCAATGTAATTTGCAAACAAATTTGGTAGGCTGCCATAACAAAAGTTCCACAGACTGGGTGGCTTAAACCGTAGACATTTAGCTTCTTACAATTCTAGAGTCCAGAAGTTCACAATCAAGGTGTCTGCAGAGCTGATTTATTCTGAGGTGTCTCTCTTTGGCTTGCAGATGGCCATTTTCTCCTTGTGTCCTCACATTTTTCCCTCTTGCATGTCTGTGTCCTAATCTTCTCTTCCCTTTTATTTTTTTGAGGCAGAGTTTTGCTCTTGTTGCCCAGGCTGGAGTGTAATGGCGTGATCTCGGCGCACTGCAACCTCTGCCTCCCGGGTTCAAGCGATTCTCCTCCCTTAGTCTCCCAAGTAGCTGGGATTACAGGCATGCACCACTACACCCGGCTAATTTTGAATTTTTAATAGAGACGGGGTTTCACCAGGTGGTCAGTCTGGTCTCAACTCCTGATCTCAAGTGATCCGCCCGCCTCAGCCTCCCAAAGTCCTGGGATTACAGGCATGAGCCACCGTGCCTGGCCCTGCCTAATCTTCTCTTCTTATAAGGACAGCCATCCTACTGGATTAGGGCCCACCCTAAGGACCTCATTTTAACTTAATTACCTCTTTAAAGACTTTACCTACAAATACATATGAAGCTAGAACTTCTTGGTGAACATAATTCAGTCCATACCACTATCTTACACTTCTGTGATTACAAAAGCAACATATGCTCCCTGTAGAAAATATGGGAACATCAGAAATGGAAAAACTAAGACAAGAATCTCTGCAAAAATCTTGTTTTTTTGTTTTTATTTATATTTATTTATTTTGATTATTTTTGTTTTGAGACAAGACCTACTCTGCCACCCAGACTGGAGTGCAGTGGCACAGTCACAGCTCATGGAAGCCTTAAGCTCCTGGGCTCAGACAATTCTTTGGCCTCAGCCTCCAAGTACCTGGACTACAGGTGTGCACCACCATGCACCATGCCTAGCTAATTTTTAAAATTTTTTTGTAGAGACAGAGTCTCACTATGTTTCCCAGGCTGGTCTTGAGCTCCTGAGCTCAAGCAAGCCTCACACCTCGGCCTCCCAATGTGCTGGGATTACAAGCATGAGCCACCGCACCTGGCCCTGTTTTTTTTTTTTTTTTTAAGTGTATAAAGTAAAAGTGAAAATATACCCTTCATTCCTCATTTCTACCTTCTTCCCCAAAGAACACTGCTGTGATAGTGAGGGACCTTTTTTGGGTTTGTCCAAACTGCTTCCAGTAACATCCTTGCCCTCCAGCTACACCTGTTCCTGCTGGTGCTCTGGAGAACAGGCCCCTTGTGCCGGGGTTGCTGGTGGATCAAATCTTTGGGCACAGTCACAGGGATTCTGCAGAAGTGGAATTGTTTTGTCAAAGGGTATACAAAATGTTCATAATTAGAGCTCAGATTTAAAAGAATTTTTTTTTTTTTTTTTTTGAGACAGAGTCTCACCGCGCCCGGCCTAAAAGGAAATTTTAAAAGAAGGCATGTAAAGATACAGGAGACCTGGCCAGGCACGGTGGCTCATGTCTGTAATCCCAGCACTTTGGGAGGCTGAGGGGGGTGGATCACAAGGTCAGGAGTTTGAGACCAACCTGGCCAAAATGGCAAAACCCCATCTCTACTAAAAATACAAAAATTAGCCGGGCGTGGTGGTGGACACCTGTAATCCCAGCTACTCCAGAGGCTGAGGCAGGAGAAGCGCTTGAACCCAGGAGGCGGAGGTTGCAGTGAGCCGAGATTGTGCCATTGCACTCCAACCTGGGCGGCAAGAGCAAGACTCTGTCTCAAAAAAAACAAAACAAAAAAAAAAGACACAGGAGCCTGTTAGGATAGCCTCCCTACGGTACTGGTACTGAAATGTTAACCGTGCTTGATCTTAGGTAATGGGGCAGGAAGTTGTTTTTCCTTCCTTTGTCTTGCTACCTAGCTGGATTTTCTACATTTTCTTTCATGAGCTTGTGCTACTTTTTGTAATGGAGGAAATAAACAACTGTAATAGAATGCTGCCAGAGAAGACAATTGAAAGGAACTTTTGGTTCTGTTCAGAAAGGGCAGGCCTGCTGCTAGTAGCTGCAGGGGACAGACAGCGGATGGGGCAGGGGGATTTCTGGCAGAGGCTGAAATGGAAGGTGGGACCTGTGGCCAGTGTGGTGGGGGCGGGGCAGTCTCTGCCTTTCAGACCTGGGAGGGAACTGTGTGCATGAGCTTTGCCAGGGAGGGAGGTAGCTCTTAGCTGGTCCAAGATAGGCCGAAGAGTTTGTAAACAAGTGCCTGGCTACTCAAAAAAAGTTTAGGTCCTTTGGCCCAGACTAGTTCTATCCCAGGCTACTGAGAAACGGGATGCTGAGTCCCTGCCACTGGTCTTTGAAAAACGACAATGGAAGATGCGCTGAAAGATTGGAGAGGGTCAAAACGCCATTCCCTTTCCTGAAAGGAAGGCAACAGAAACTTCAAACATTGGGGCAGAGGGCTAAGCAAGATTAAAGGGTGACTCAGGACCCCGTAGAAAAGGATGTGACAATTCATGGGAGCTGGAATGGGTCATCAACTGCAGCCCCAGACCAACCTCAGCTCGTGATGTGAGGCACAGAGATCCTAGATTCAGCAGGTCTCCTAACAGACTTATTATTGTTTGCAGCCAAGATGGAGAAATATGGAGTAGACACTAGAACGGTCAGGTCAAATGACAGCCCCCAAATCAGTGGACTGATGCCAAGGTGAGGCAGGTCTCTAAGTCCATGTCAAAAGGCTCTGTTCGCCTTGTTGCCCAGGTTGGAGTGCAGTGGCATGGTAACTGATCACTTCAGCCTCAGCCTCTGGGTTCAAGGGATCCTCCCACTTCACCCTCCTGAGTAGCTGGGACTACAGGCACCATCACACCTGACTAATTTTTTTTTTTTTTTGAGAGGGAGTCTCGCTCTGTCCCCCAGGCTGGAGTGCAGTGGCGCAGTCTCGGCTCACTGCAACCTCCGCCTCCCAGGTTCACACCACTCTCCTACCTCAGCCTCTCAAGTAGCTGGGACTACAGGCACCCGCCACCACGCCCAGCTAATTTTTTTGTATTTTTAGTAGAGACGGGGTTTCACCATGTTAGCCAGGATGGTCTTGATCTCCTGATCTCGTGATCCGCCTGCCTCAGCCTCCCAAAGTGCTGGGATTATAGGCGTGAGCCACCATGCCTGGCCACACCTGACTAATTTTTAAATTTTTTTTAGAGATGGAGTCTCACTGTGTGCCCAGGCTGGTCTTGAATGCCTGGGCTCAAATAATTCTCCCACCTTGGCCTGCTAATCCACAGGGATTACAGGCATGTACCATTATGCCTGGTTAGTTTGTTTTTGTTTTTGTTTTTGTTTTTGTTTTTGTTTTGTAGAGACAGGGTCTCGCCATGTTGCCTAGGCCTCAATCTCCTGATCTCAAGTGATCCTCCTGCCTTGGCCCCCCAGAGCGCTGGGATTACAGGTGTGAACTACCCTACCTGGCCCTAGTTGTTCTGTTCAGAAGCCAGATTACAGAATCTAAATGGGTCATCCAGTGACTAGCCAAATCCAAACAGGTACAAGTCCAAAAGCTGAGATCATCGCTGACAGCAGAATCTCTCCCAGAGAATTGGTGATGAGCCATTCCGGAGGCAGTGGGTGGGCAACTGCCCAGGGCTATATTCAGTCCTCGTGGCCATGGGAGGGGGCTGCATCCTGAGTGTTTAAAAGTCCTGATGAAATCCAGATGTAAGGATGAATGATGCTAAGGAGTTGGAACTCGGCATGGTAACATGGCTGCCTTGGGCTTTCTTGACCTGATGTCTTTAGCTATTTGGTCCATCTGATTGTCTTTAGTTGAGTTTCTTATTCACTGAACAGCTTTGTACGTCCTTTGAATATTTCCAAATTGTGTGCCAATTGCATTTTCCACTGTAAATGAATCAACTGGCCTTCTGTTTGTGTTTTGAAAAATTACAAGTAACGACTGGACAGGCCCAACGGAATCCCTCAATCTCCCCCATGCAACATTCCTCACTAATGACCTTCCTGGCCTGAGAGGTGGTTAAAAATAGTGCCATCTGCCCTCAAGCTACACTGCTTCAGGTATTGCGCTTCATAATCCATGCCCTCTATACTGAACCTCGTGGCCAGGACAAGCTTCCAGGGCAGTCACAGTCAGAGTGGACAGCTGTCACCTGTAGTTGGCCACAGCCCTATCAATGAGTAGGGCCTGCACCAACCCTGCTCAAGTGTTCTCTGCAGAGAGTGAGCAGCATACCTGGCTTCGTGAGGTGGGGACCCTTGTGGCTCTGGGCATCCAAAGGACTTGATTTCTCCCTTGGAAGATAGAGGCAGGGGCAGGACCAGGGCATAAGCAGTTATGCTAGTGAGGTGTACTCTGATGCCCCCCGGTACAGTCTGAAGTCTGCAGGAGTTGAAAGACGTGTGCAGGTGGGCCAGGTATCCCTAGCAGTGGTTTCTATTTGTGGCAGCCAAATGGTGAGAGCAAGAAGGTGGAGAGGACCGCGGAACCTTTGCAAAGGCAAACCAGTGAGAGTAAGTGCCAGATGGGCCACAGTGCCTTGGGGGACGTAATGGTTGTATCTCCAGAGATGAGTAGATGCTGACTTCCTATTTAACATCAATCCAGTCCCCCAAATGCCTCCGTCGGTGGGCCTGGCATTCTTCCAGACTCCCTTCAAACCATGTTTCCAGCAAGCACCCTGCCATCAGCCTTACTCCCACGCTGATTACTGGCTCTCAGCGCATGTATGTTTCGTTTACACTGTGCTGCTGTTTTGTAATTGTTTGCAAGTTGTGTCATATGTGTATGTTGTGTCTAAAGTGGATAGAGGCCTCTGAGATCAGGATCTAGTTTTCTCGAATCATCGTCCTCCTCCACAACCACCACCACCACCAATAACTGGCACCGAACACAGGGCATTACGTAATGCGGACAAAAATGCTTGTAAATGAGTTCATGTCACAGACACTCAGAAGTTTGCCCCCACTGTAAACAAACACTGTAGAGGTGAAAGGCTTTGTTTCCAAGGCTCAGGAACATGGAGAGAGGAGCCCTCTACCTTTGCAGTTCATTCAACAGACTAGGGATCTACTTGCCCTCACAGGGCTCTTAGAATAAGGAAAAAAAAGCAGAAGGCATGTTCCGCAACCTCACAGAACATATTCAGCTGGGAAGATTGTTCATGGAGTTGGCAAATCTTTTTTTTTTTTTTTTTTTTTAGACAGATTCTCACTCTGTCGCCCAGGCTGGAGTGCAATGGCACGATCTTGGCTCACTGCAACCTCCGTCTCCTGGGTTCGAGCAAGCAATTCTCCTGTCTCAGCCTCTGGAGTAGCTGGGACCACAGGCCACACCAACACTCCTGGCTAATTTTTGTATTTTTAGTAGAGACGGGTTTCACCATGTTAGCCAGGCTAATCTCAAACTCCTGACCTCAGGTGATCCACCCGCCTCAGCCTCCCAAACAGCTGGGATTACAGGCATGAGCCACCGCGCCTGGCCAGAGCTGGCAAATAATTAAAACAATTTTCAGACATCCCATCCTACCAACTTCACAGTTAAGTGTTAAAAGAAATTAGGTTGGCGGGGCGCAGTGGCTCACGCCTGTAATCCCAGCACTTTGGGAGGCCGAGGCAGGCGGATCATGAGGTCAGGAGATCAAGACCATCCTGGCTAACACAGTGAAACCCCGTCTCTACTAAAAATACAAAAAAATTAGCCGGGCGTGGTGGCGGGCGCCTGTAGTCCCAGCTACTCTGGAGGCTAAGGCAGGAGAATGGCATGAACCCGGGAGGCGGAGCTTGCAGTGAGCCGAGATCATGCCACTGCACTCCAGCCTGGGCGACAGAGCGAGACTCCGTCTCAAAAAAAAAAAAAAAAGAAATTAGGCCAGGCCAGGCGCAGTGGCTCATGCCTGTAATCCAAGCACTTTGGGAGGCTGAGGCGGGCAGATCACGAGGTCAGGAGTTCGAGACCAGCCTGGCCAACATAGTGAAACCCCATCTCTACTAAAAATACAAAAATTAGCCGGGCATGGTAGTGCACGCCTGTAGTCCCAGCTACTTGGGAGGCTGAGGCAGAAGAATCGCTTGAACCTGGGAGGCAGAGGTTACGGTGAGCTGAGATTGCGCCACTGCACTCCAGCCTGGACAACAGAGCAAGAATCCATCTCAAAAAAAAAAGAAAAGAAAAAAAAAAAAAAGAAAGAAATTAAGCCGGGTGCGGTGGCTCATGCCTGTAATCCCAGCATTTTGGAAGGCTGAGGCAGGTGGATCACCTGAGGTCAGGCGTTCGAGAGCAGCCTGGCCAACATGGTGAAACCCCATCTCTACTGAAAATACAAAAAATTAGCTGGGCATGGTGGCAGGTGCCTGTAGTTCCAGCTATTCGGGAGGCTGAGGCAGAAGAATCACTTGAACCGGGGAGATGGAGGTTGCAGTGAGCCAAAATTGTGCCCATTGCACTCAGGTCTGGGTGACAGAACAAAACTCTGTCTCAAAAAGGAAGGAAGGAAGGAAGGAAGGAAGGAAGGAAGGAAGGAGGGAGGGAGGGAGGGAGGGAAGAAAAGAAAAAAACAAGAAGAGAAGAGGAAAGGAAAGGAGAGGAGAGGAAAGGAAAGGAAAGGAGAGAAGAGGAGAGAAATTAGAGGCGGGACGTGGTGGCTCTTGCCTGTAATCCCAGCACTTTGGGAGGCCTAGGCAAGAGGATCAATTGAGGTCAGGAGTTTGAGACCAGCCTGGCCAACATGGTGAAACCCCGTCTCTACTAAAAATACAAAAATTAGCCAGGTGTGTGCACGCCTGTAGTCCTAGCTACTTGGGAGACTGAGGTAGGAGAATCGCTTGAACTCAGGAGGCAGAGGTTGCAGTGAGCTGAGATCGTGCCATTGCACTCCAGCCTGGGCAACAAGAGTGAAACTCTGTCTCAAAAAATAAATAAATAAAAATAAAAGAAATTAGAGTCAGAAACATTTGCTTTGGTTTTGGCAAATCCAAAACAGCTTTTTCTTTTTCTTTCTTTCCTTTTTTTTTTTTTTTTTGAGATGGAGTCTCACTCTATCGCCCAGGCTGGATTGCAGTGGCGCGATCTCGGCTCACTGCAACCACTGCCACCTGAGTTCAAGCAATTCTCCTGGGTCAGCCTCCCGAGTAGCTGGGATTACAGGCAACTGCCACCGTGCCTGGCTAATTTTTGTATTTTTAGTGGTCTTGAACTCCCGACGTCGTGGCCAGGCTGGTCTTGAACTCCTGACCTCGTGATCCACCCACCTCAGCCTGCCAAAGTGTTGGGATTACAGGCGTGAGCCACCGCACCAGGCCCAAAACAGCTTTTTCAAAAATTCTTTACTATGAGATTCTTTGAGATATCAACCTGTGTAACTTAAATGACCTATTGATATTCTCAGCTTTTCAGAAATGTATTTTCTTGAAAGAAGGAAGGAAGGAAGGAAGGAAGGAAGGAAGGAAGGAGAAAGAAAGAAAAAGAAAGGAAGGAAGGAAGGAAAGAAAGAAGGAAAGAAGGAAAGAAAGAAAGAAAGAAAGAAAGAAAGAAAGAAAGAAAGAAAGAAAGAAAGAAAGAAAAGAAAGAGAAAGAAAGAAAGAAAGAAAGAAAGAAAGAAAGAAAGAAAGAAAGAAAAAAAGAAAGAAAAAAAGAAAGAAATGGTGCAAATTCTCCAAAAAGGCCAACGTGCTGCGTGGCTCCTGGCCACGAGGGGGCATGGTCTCCCTAGTCCTAGGCTAAGGAACCAACGATGGGGACCCTAGCTGTGTCCAGCCTCAGCCTAGTGGAGTTGGGAGGAATGCCCTCTTGGCCAAGGTCCAGGAGTTCCAGGAGACTCCAGACCTCTTTTCCTGTACTAGCAACTCCCCGCAGCAGAGTGTATGTCTGGGGTGTAGAAAGCCACGAGCGCTCTAGGCTGAAGAGGAGGTCATGTTTAAATTACAGACTGAGCAGGAGTGCTGTGCAAGCAGCTTTGCCCAGGAGCCAGCAGGGCGGGTGGTGTCTGGGGCATGACCTTGGGTGGCTGTGGTGCTGGTTAGGGTGCTGGGTGGAGCCTGGCTGGCGAGGCTGGAGAGCATGGGCGGGGCAGCCACAGTACAGATGGGGCCACACAAAGCTTGTGGGAGCCGCTCTGACTGGCCAGCTGCTCCCAGCCCTGCCAGCGCTGGGATTGTGTGGTGTGATCAAGGCAAAGACCATGCTTTTCAGCAAGGTCGTCTGAAGTCTGGCTTCAATCTCCCTCCCTCCGCGTTACCTTTTCCAAAAGGACCTCTTCTCCAGCCCAGCTAATGACCTGCTCTTCCAGAAAATGACTTAAACTTTGCTTCATTGATTCATTTTTGCACTTACTTCGACACACAGCAAACACTTATTGAGCACATATGGTAGCCAGGCACTGTGGAAATACAGGACCTTGTCTGTGACTTCATAGACACTATAGTTTTTGTTTGTTTGTTTGTTTGTTTAACAGAGTCTCACTCTGTTGCCCAGGCTGGGGTGCAGTGGTGTGATCTCCGCTCACTGCAGCCTCCACCCCTCTGGCTTTTCTGCTTCAGCCTCTCAAGTAGCTGGGACTACAGGCACGCACCACCATGCCAGGCTAATTTTTGAATCTTTAGTGGAGATGGGGATTCACCATGTTTGCCGGACTGGTTTTGAACTCCCGACCTCAAGTGATCCGCCCGCCTCGGCCTCCCAAAGTGCTGGGATTACAGGCATGAGCCACCGCGCCCGGCGCATAGGCACTACAGTTTTATGCCTTTGAATCTTTATTCATGTTTTTCTATTTGTGGAAAATTCTCCTCATCCCTCTCTGCCTGGCCAGATTTTACCATCTTTCAGTGACCTCCTCATGCCTCACCAACTCCAGGGTCCCCTCTCTGATTATTCCAAAGTGAGAAAAGGGACCAGGCCCTTCTCATTCACTGTTATATCCTGAGTGACTAACAGGTGCCTGGTACAAGCAAGCACTCAAAAATATTGACAGAATGAATGAGGCAGTCTTGTCCCTCTCTGACTTCACAACCCTGTTGCCTAGAACTTTCACTTCCAGTCCTGCCCATGGCATTTCTCCTACTGAACTCTTGTGTTTATTACTACTCAGTGCTGGGTGGTTGGGTTAGGCAGGGCTCTGGATTTGCCAGGAACAGAAAGGAATTTATTGGTTCATTGAACCACACCATGGGAGGGGTAGCAGGAACCATAGGGGTCTGGGAATACAACGTCAGGACACTGCCACTCACACTGGCTTCTTTCATTGATGTCTTCATCCCCCACTACTGCAGAAAGCCTTTCGCCACCCAGAAAATGGCTATCAACCGGTCAGGATTCACATCCTACCAGCTTAGCAATCCAAGAAGAATAGGATTTTCCCCTCCAATTACCTTTTTTTTTTTTTCTTTTTGAGACAAGTCTCACCCTGTTGCCCAGGCTGGAGTGCAGTGGCACAATTATAGCTTACTGCAGCCTCGACCTCCCAGGCTCAAGTGATCCTTCTACCTCAGCCTCCCAAGTAGCTGGAACTACATGTGTGTGCCAACATGCCTGGCTAATTTTTTTAATTTTTTGTAGGGACGGGGGGTTGGGGGGGGTCTCACTATGTTACCCAGGCTGGTCTCGAACTCCTGAGCTCAGGCAATCTGCCACCTTGGCTTCCCAAAGTGTGGGATTACAGGCATGAGCCACTACACCGGACCTATTTTATTTATTGTTTGTTTGTTTTTTTGCGGGGGTGGGTGGTTTGAGACGGCATCTCACTCTGTCGCCCAGGCTGGAGTGCTGTCGCATGATCTGAGCTCACGGCAACCTCCACCTCCCAGGTTCAAGCGATTCTCCTGCCTCAGCCTCCTGAGTAGCTGGGATTACAGGCACCCACCACCACACCTCACTAATTATCATATTTTTAGTACAGACGGGGTTTCGGCATGTTGGCCAGGCTGGTCTCAAACTTCTGACCTCAAGTAATCCACCCACCTCGGCCTCCCAAAGTGCTGGGATTACAGGCGTGAGCCACCACACCCGGCCTTTCCCTAGACTTTATAGGAGCCTACAACAGTCCATCTTGTCCTCTTGTCACCACTGCTGTGGGTGGGGTCATTTGTCCTGTCTGAGGGTGTGGAAATAGAATCCTGGTAACCATGTTATGACTTGAGCGGTCACTTCTGGTTTTCCTTCTGAGAAAATCTTCTGCGCTCAGCTGTATGAGTAATATTGGCTTTTTGTCTCAAATGGGAAATGGCTCTAAGACCGGTTTTTCTATTTGTGTTTCTTTGTTTATTTTGGTAGAAAGCAAAGAGGGCAATACGTTAAACGGCATCTTCCTTGGATGGTCTCAGGATCACAGCCTTCTCTAAAGAAGTATTCCTCTCCAAAGAGCTGCAGGCCTTCAACAGCCTTATTAGGTAATATTATTATACCTGTTTACTTGAGGAAACTGACCTCAGTGGTAGTAACAAGCCCAAGGTCACAGAACTATGGTGGGAGGGAGGGACGAAGACAAGACCTGTGGATTCAGATCCTGGTGCCAGAGGCTTTGCTTACATCCAGTTATTCAATCCGCACTGCAGTCTTCTGGGGTCAGAATCAGACGACAGGTCCTGTGAAGTTTACATATCTTGCCCAAGGTCACAGAGGCAAACAAGGTTGGGATTTGCTGATTCGAAAGCCCGTGCTATTTTCACTTCAGGTCAACTTACCTCTCTATGCTTGCACTTCCTAATCTGTGAAATGGGAATAATAATAGTACATGCCTCTGGGTTTGTTGTGGGAGTTAAATGGAATGACACACCTGGCCCGTAGTGAGCGCCGTAAGTGGACACTATTGTTGTTATCATTATAATGTTAACACGAGGTCTCCCTCTGGTCAGGAGTTGGCCACTCCCTGTTGCAGGAGAACCAGATCCCGTGGGAGCCCCTTCGTGGCCCAGGTGCTCCTGAGGCTCAGTGCAGGTGCTGGGAAAGTTTGCAACAGGAGTAAAGGGAACAAAGGCTCCAGGTGCCTGTGGATGCTTTGTCTGGCTGGAGGCCAGCTTCCTGCTGGATCAGGTTGCTCTTGGCTGTCTGGGTTCATGGAGCTGACCCCTCCTCCCTGTCCCTGCCAACTGAGGGCTGAGGGCTAAGTCTGGTGACACCAAACAGGGCCCAGCATGGGCAACGTACTTCCTTTCTGGAACCCAGTGATGGGATCTCACTGGCTAAACCAGGAAACCTTGGGGCACTGAGAGAGACCTATTCTGGGTCCTCATTCCACAGTGTGGCCTCAGTGAGCCCCCTCCCAACCTCTCCTGGAGGGGTGGTCTTGGGTGTAGAGGCGGCACCTGGGATCTGAGAGCTGGGTTTGAATGCCAGCCCAGGATGGGGCACTGGAGAGACCTTAGGCAAGCCAGCTCTCTCCGTGTCTCAATTTTGTACTATGAAGGTTCAGGAGGTTGTGCTGGTTCATGCATAAAGCCCTTGCAAGCCCTTAAAATTCACTGCTGTCCCCAACACCGCCTATGGAGATGAACTTAATTTTATTTTTTCAGACGGGGTCTCTGTTGCCCAAGCTGGAGTGCAGTGGCGCGATCTCGGCTCACTGCAACCTCTGCCTCCCGGGTTCAAGCAATTCTCCCGCCTCAGCCTCCCGAGTAGCTGGGATTACAGACACACACCACCACACCCGGCTAATTTTTGTATTTTTAGTACAGATGGGGTTTCACCACGTTGGCCAGGCTGGTCTTGAACTCCTGACCTCAGGTGACCCACCCACCTTGGCCTCCCACAATGTTGAAATTACAGGGGTAAGCCACTGCACTCAGCTTAGGAAATGAAACTTCAAACCCAGCAGAGGGTAATCTTTGCATAACACAAACTAGACTATGTCTCACTTCTCCTCAAAACCTGCCACAAGCCCTGGCCTGCTCCCTTCCAACTTCTGCTGTAGCTCCCAGTCACCAGGCTTCTTTAAGTTCCTTGAATAGGACTTTGTTCCTGCCTTAGGGCTTTTGCACTCGCTGTCCCTTTGTCCTGAAACACTCTGAGCTTCAGGTCTTTCGGTTGCTGTCTTTATCACTCAGGTCTTGTGCTTAGGTGTAACCTCCTCAGAGCAGTCTTCTTCTGTCACCCCTGCCTTGTCCCTCTCAACCAACATCATCCAGTTTTATATCCAGAGCATACCTGTCTCTGAAATTATCCTTTTTGTATTTATCTCCCTTTTTTTTTTTTTTTTTTTTTTTTGAGACAGAGTCTCGTACTGTCATCTGGGCTGGAATACAATGGCGCAATCTTGGCTCACTGCAACCTCCGCCTCCCGGGTTCACGCAATTCTCCTGCCTCAGCCTCCCAAGTAGCTGGGATTACAGTTATACGCCACCACAGCCGGCTAATTTTTTGTATTTTTTAGTACAGATGGTGTTTCACTATGTTGGTCAGGCTGGTCTCAAACTCCTGACCTCGTGATCTGCCCGCCTTGGCCTCCCAAAGTGCTGGGATTACAGGCGTGAGCCATCACACTTGCCGTGTCTCCCTTTTTTATTGTCTACCTCCCTCCACCAGAAGCTAAGCTCCGTGAAGACAGGGAACCTGTCTGTCCTTTCTCCCTTTATCTCCCCAGAAGTGCCCAGAGCAGTGCCTGGCAGAGTAGGCACTCAGGGACTCTGTAGACTACCCATTCTGTAAGACCCACCTTGAAGTAGGGTCTGGGCTGCCTGTGCCCATCGTTTCTCTGTGATCTGGGGCAGTGGCCCTGGCACCGCAATGAGGCAGCTTTGTGAGCGTGAAACACTGTCCATTTCCAAAATACTTTCACCTGTGGTGCCTCATTTGCACCTCCCAATAACTCTGTGAGACAGGTAGAGCAGGATCATAAACTCCATTTCATAAATCAGAAAATCGACGCGTCCAGAGGCTTACAGGAACTTGCCTAAGGTAATATCCCTCATTTGGTGCAGAACCAGGAAGAGAACTATTAGTCTCAGGAAGCTCCAGCCAGACATAGAATGCCGAAGATCCACATATCGATCGCATTTCTCCATTAGGTCATGTTATCCATGTACACATGTTGAGAATTACTGCAATGAGGGGGTACTATTCTGATCTCTGAAATGCTTTTGAGCTCTAAATTTTTCTAGGGCTCTTGGATATATGTGATGAGACTTACCTTTAGGTCTCTTCCAGGGAAACTAAAATTCTTGCCTTCTTCCTGGACTGAGAAGTCAAAGTCTCTGCCCTATTCTGCCACAGAATCCCAGTAATGCCTCTACAGA
The DNA here is from genome assembly GCF_000001405.40 of Homo sapiens. NCBI lineage: Eukaryota > Metazoa > Chordata > Mammalia > Primates > Hominidae > Homo > Homo sapiens. The sequence goes on from NC_000015.10 coordinate 90,163,542, forward strand.
GTACATAGCACATAGTACTTAACAGCCGGTTTCACATATATTCAACTGCAGATGAGGTTCAGAGAGGTGAAGGGACTTGCCCACATAGGAAAATGGCAAAGGGAATTCTAGAACTCAGCTGGTCTGACTCTAAGCACAGTGTTCCTCCCCCCATGACCATATGCATGTAAATTCCCTTCCAGTTGCATGGAAGATGGAGTTCTTCACGGCTAAATTGTTAAAACCAAAATGCCATCTTTAGATGCCTTTATTAGGCTCATTACAAGCTTATCTGGGCCGGGCGCAGTGGCTCACGCCTATAATCCCAGCACTTTGGGAGGCCGAGGCAGGTGGATCACCTGAGGTCAGGAGTTCAAGACAACCCTGGCCAACATGGTGAAACCCCATCTCTACTAAAAATACAAAACTTAGCCAGGTGTGGTAGCACATGCCTGTAATCCCAGTTACTCGGGAGGCTGAGGCAGGAGAATCACTTGAACCCAGGAGGTGGAGGCTGCAGTGAGCCAAGATCACGTCATTGCACTCCAGCCTGGGTGACAGAGTAAGACTCCATCTCAATTTAAAAAAAAAAAAAAAAAGCTTATCGGCCGGGAGGCCAGCCATGTTGGCTCATGTTTGTAATCTCAGCACTTTGAGAGGCCAAAGTGGGAGGATGGCTTGAGCCCAGGAGTTTGAACCAGCCTAGGCAACATGGCAAAACCCCATCTCTACCAAAAATACAAAAATTAGCCAGGCATGGTGGCACACACCTGTGATCCCAGCTACTCAGGAGGCTGAGGCAGGAGAATCTCTTGAACCTGGGAGGTGAAGGTTGCAGTGAGCCGAGATCATGCCATTGCACTTCAGCCTGGGCAACAGAGCAAGACTCTGTCTCAAAAAAAAAAACAAACAAAGATCAGCAGTATGGTGGTATGTCGCTGTAGTCCCAGCTACTCGGGAGGCTGAGGTGGGAGGATGATTTGAGCCTGGGAAGTTGAGGCTGCAGTGAGCCAAAATAACATCACTGCACTCCAGCCTGGGCAACAGAGACAGACCCTGTCTCAAAAAAAAAGAAAAAGAAAAGAAAGCTTTTTAAGTCCTTGCCATGGCCTTCTGTTAGATCTGCAGCAGGAGAGGGAGGAGACGAGAGGCACCCTTGTGATGGAATATGGGGCAGCTCCTCCAAATGAGGGCAGAAATCTATACTTATTGGTAACTTTGCAAATATGTGTCTCCGTTGTATGCAGACACACATACAGAAAGTCTGGAAGGATGTGCTCCAGAATGCTAATAGCAGCATCTCTGGGAATCACCTTATGGGTGATTTCACTCCCTTCTATATACTTGTCTGAAGTTTTATTTTATAATGGGCAAGTATTTCCTTTATAATCAGGCTTTTTTTTTTTTTTTTTTTTTTGAGATGGAGTTTTACTCTCGTTGCCCAGGCTAGAGTGCAATGGCGTGATCTCAGGTCACTGCAACCTCTGCCTCCTGGGTGCAAGTGATTCTCCTGCCTCAGCCTCCCGAGTAGCTGCGATTACAGGTGTGCACCACCAAGCCCAGCTAATTTTTTTGTATTTTTGGTGGAAATGGGGTTTCACCATGTTGATCAGGCTAGTCTTGAACTCGTGACCTCAGGTAATCCACCTGCCTCACCCTCCCAAAATGCTTGGATTACAGGCATAAGCCGCTGCACCCAGCCAATAAAGCCATTTTCATTCTGAAAAAGAATTGAAAAAAGCTACTGAATAGGCCAAGCATGGTGACATGGGCCTGTAGTCCCAGCAACACAGGAGGCTGTGGCAGGAGGATCACTTGAGGCCAGGGACTGGAGGCTGCAGTAAGCCATGATTATGTATGTGAATAGCCACCACACTCCAGCCTGGGCAACACAGTGAGACCCTATCTTATGAAATAGGAAGGAAGGAAGACCACTGAATAGAAATAAAAGAATGGGAAGAAGTCCTGATACATGTGTCTCATGTTTTCAGTCAGATCCCTCTAGGGATGCAGGTGGAATCTGTGTCACCCATGAATGGACCCTTTACTTGGGGGGCATTCAAAATATGAAGGTAATGAGGACTAAGTAGACATCTTCCAATGAATGACACAGAAATTATAAACCTCTTGGCAGTCTCTTTGAACAACTCTCATCTTTCTCAGGATCTTAATGATTCATGTCACAGGCCCTTCCCAAAGATTGTGTGGTGGCTCTGGAGGAAAACCGAGAAGTGATATTACTCGTTTCTGGATAATTGTCAGTGAGTCAGACCTCGTTCAGCGCTCTGGAGTTTCCAGGCCGTTAACTTCTCTGCCTGAACTCATGAGTCAGGGTCAGTCAGCCCAGAGCTGCAATGTGTACGTGCTTCCCGGCCCTGCTCTTCTGGCCCGCCCCCAAGCCTTCACGCATGCACCCCTGCAGGCACTTACCAGCCTCCTCATCCGTATATCCTGGAAAGGGTGCAAGCATGCCTGGCTTAGTCATCCATCCACAGGAAGTTTGCACAGCCCTACCTGAGTGCTAAGATCAGGCTGTAAACTGCCAGAATGAAACAAAAGAGGGAAAATAAATATCAGCACTCTCCCATAAATTTTGCAATAGTCAGCTGTAGTCTAGCTGTGATTTAGAGCATTTGTTTTGTGAATAACCGGATGTGAATAATCTATATGTGAATAACCTATACGTCTGTCAATAGTGATCCATTATGATACATTGTGGTGGTGGGCACCTTGTAATCAGCTACTCAGGAGGTTGAGGTGGAAGGATCACTTGAGTCCAGAAGTTCTGGGCTGTAGTGCTCTATGCTTATAGTGTGTCCACACTAAGTTGGGCATCAATATGGCGACCTACTGGGAGCTGGGGGACCACCAGGTTGTCTAAGGAGAGATGAACCAGCCCAAGTCCGAAACAGAGCAGGTCAGAACTCTGGTGCTGATCAGTAGCAGGATGGTTCTGTGAATAGCCACTGCACTCCAGACTGCGCAACTTAGCAAGACTCTGTCTCTAAAAAAATGTGTGTGTTTGTATAAAATACATTGTAGTGTATCCAGAGAACAGATTACCATGCAGCTATTTAAAAGAACGAGGTAGAGCTATGTAAGTTGACATAGAAAGGGTCAGTTTGGCCGGGCACGGTGGCTCACACCTGTAATCCTAACACTTTGGGAGGCCGAGGCAGGAGGATCATTGAGCCCAGGGGTTCCAGGCTGCAGTGAGCTATGATCACACCACTGCACTCCAGCCTGAGTGACAGAGTGAGATCCAGTCCCTAAAAAAACCCAAAAACCAAAAACAAAAACGTAAGGTCAGTTTTAAGAATAAGAGGAACATTGGATAGCAGTGTATATATTATGCTCCTATTTGTGTGCATGTCAATTATTCTTATTTTTTAAATTATTTTGCTCACTCTGTCACCCAGGCTGGAATACAGTGGCACAATCTCGGCTCACTGCAGCGTCGACCTCCCAGGCTCAGGTGATTCTCCCACCTCAGCCTACCAAGTAGCTGGGACTACAGGCTCATGCTACCACGCACAGCTAATTTTTGGGGTTTCACCATGTTGCCTAGGCTGTTCTCAAACTGCTGGGATCAAGAGATCCTCCCGCCTCAGCCTCCCAAAGTGCTGGGGTTACAGGTATGAGCCACCATGACAGGCATCTTATTTTTATTTTTAAAAATTATAAATGGCATTTTCTCATTGTAAAAGGATAAAAATACAGAAAAGGCTAGCAGAAGACACGAAACTCTCTCATCACCCCTTGCATCAGTCAGGACAGGCTAGGCTATGCTGTGGTAACAAACATCTCTAAAAATGTCAATGGCTTAAAACAACAAAGATTTTTTTCTTGCCCATGCTTTATTCCTAACATGGACACAGAGATTCAGCTCATTGTAGTCCGCACCATAGTCACAGTGCCACCAACATATGATGCCACCATCCCAACGTGATACTTCACAGTTCACCATTATAGAGGAAGAAAGCATGAGAACCAACACAGGATCTCAAATGCCTCCCCTGGAAGGGATACTTGACACTTTTCCTCACATTTCACAAGCAAATCACAAGGATACACCTAACTTCAAGACAGTGTGAAAGTATAACCTTCCCCTGGACACAGGAAGAGAGCTGGAAATATTGATTCACCTTGGTAATGTCTACCACCCCATCCCAAACCACCCTCCTTCCCAGAGGGGAGTTAACATGTTGCTGCTGAATCCCTCCAGGCCTTTTTGATATATAGGCATACCTTGGAAATACTGCAGGTTCAGTTCCAGACCACTGCAGTAAAGCAAGTCACATGAATTTTTTTTGGTTTCCCAGTGCATATAAAAGTTATGTTCATACTATCCTGTAGTCTATTAAGTAAGCCATCATATTATCTCTAAAAAATATGCAGATACCACAGAAATTAGCCAGGCATAGTGGCGGGTGCCTATAATCCCAGCTACTTGGGAGGCTGGGGCAGGAGAATCGCTTGAACCCAGGAGGCGGAGGTTGCAGTCAGCCAAGATCATGCCATTGCACTCCAGCCTGGGTGATAGAGCCAGACTCTGTCTGAAAACAAAAAAAAGGATATATCTTTTTAATTTTTTTTTTTAATTTAAAAATTTTTTTGAGACAGGGTTCCACTCTGTCACCCAGATGGGAGTGCAGTGGCACAGTCATGGCTCACTGCAGCCTTGACCTCCTAGGCTCAAGCGATCCTCCTACCTCAGCCTCCCAAGTAGCTGGGACCACAGGCGTGCACCACCATACCTTGCTAACTTTTATATGTCTTGTAGAGACTGGGTTTGCCCATGTTGGCCAGGCTGGTCTCGAACTCCTGGGCTCAAGCAATCTGCCTGCCTGGGCACCACAATTGCTGGGATTATAAGTGCAAGCCACCACGCCCAGCCTGTTTTGCGTACTTCCTGTTTGTGTGTTCACTGTCATAGTGCCTTTAATTTTCCTTTGTCTTTTAAACTTGGCTAATTGGCTCAAGAAGACTAGTTTTTCAGCCTGTTTTGGCTTTCAACATGCCTTCCTCACTAAGCTTAATCCTTTGTACCTAGAGATGTGGAACTCTTGCTTTTGTGTGAACAGAGGACTTAGAGGCCATCATAGGGTTATTAATTGGCCTAATTGCAACATCTTTGTGTCTCAGGGAATAGGGAGGCTCCAGAAGAGGGAGACAGAAGGGAGGGAGAATGACCCGTTGGTGGCCGTTTGATGGAGCAGCCAGAACAAGCAAAACGTTTATCAATTGTGGCTGAGCACAGTGGCTCACACCTGTAATCCCAGCACTTTGGGAGGCCGAGGCGGGTGGATCACCTGAGGTCAGGAGTTCGAGACCCGCCTGGCCAATATGGTAAAACCCCATCTCTACTAATAACACAAAAATTACCCGGGCGTGGTGGCGCACTCCTGTAATCCAAGCTACTCCGGAGGCTGAGGCAGGAGAATCGCTTGAACCCCAGAGGCAGAGATTGCGGTGAGCCAAGATCACACCACTGAGCTCCAGCCTGAGCAAGTGAAACTCTGCCTCAAAAAGAAAAAAAAGAAAAAAAGTTTATCAATTAAGTTTGCCATCTTGTATGGGCCCGGTTCATGGTACCCCAAAACAATTAAATAGTAACATCAAAGATCACCAATCACAGATCACCATAACAGATATATTAATAATGAAAAAGTTTGAAACGTTGAAAGAATCAGCAAGATGTGACACAGACACTAAGTGAGCACATGCTGTTGGAGAAGCTGTGCTCATAGACTTGCTTGACCTTGCCACAAACCTTCAATTCATAAAAAAATGCAGTATCTACGAAACGTGATATCTTCAAAGAGCAATATAAACGAAGTTTGCCTGTATATAGTTTTGACATACATTAATAGTTTACAATAAATTTAAAATATATCTGGCTGGGCACAGTGGCTTATGCCTCTAATCCTAGCACTTCGGGAGGCCAAGGTGGGTGGATCACCTGAGGTCAGGAGTTTGAGACCAGCCTGGCCGATATGGTGAAACCCCATCTCTACTAAAAATACAAAAATTAGCCGGGCATGGTGGTGAGCACCTGTAATTCCAGCTATTCAGGAGGCTGAGGCATGAGAATCACTTAAACCTGGGAAATGGAGGTTGCACTGAGCCAAGATTTTGCCACTGCAGTCTAGCTTGGGCAACAGAGCAAGACTTAGTCTCATAAAAAATAAAATAAAATAAAAATATACCAGCCTAGGCAACATAGTGAGACCCCCAACTCTATTTAAAAAAAAAAAATAGAAAAATAGCTGGGTACAGTGGCTCATGCATGTAATCCCAGCACTTTGGGAGGCCGGGGCGGGTGGATCACCTGAGGTCAAGAGTTCGAGACCAGCCTAACTAACATGGTGAAACCCTGTCTCTACTAAAAATACAAAAATTAGCTGGGCATGGTGGCACATGCCTGTAATCCCAGCTGCATGGGAGGCTGAGGCAGGAGAATCACTTGAACCCGGGAGATGGAGGTTGCAGAGAGCTGAGATCATGCCATTGCACTCCAGCCTGGGCAATGAGAGCGAAACTCCGTCTCAAAAAATAAATTAATTAATTAAATAAAAATGCAAACATTAGCCGGGTGTGGTGGCATGCACCTGTAGTCCTCGCTACTTGGGAGGCTGAGGCACAAGAATCGCCTGAACTTGGGAGGTGGAGGTTGCAGTGAGTCGAGATCACACCACTGCACTCCAGCCTGGGTGACAGAGGAAGACTCTGTCTCAAAAAAAAAAAAAAAAAGAAGAAGAAGAAGAAGAAGAAGATATTAGCCAGGCATGGGTGCATGCCAGTAGTCCCAGCTACTAGGGAGACTGAGGTGGGAGGGTCCATTGACCACAGGCGGTCAAGGCTGCAGTGAGCCATGACCATGGCTGGGCGACATAGTAAAACCCTGTCGGCCGGGCGCGGTGGCTCACGCCTGTAATCCCAGCACTTTGGGAGGCCGAGGCAGGTGGATCACGAGGTCAGGAGATCGAGACCATCCTGGCTAACACGGTGAAACCCCGTCTCTACTAAAACTACAGCCGCTTACAGAAGTTGTAATAGTGATGTCTAACTTGGAAATGAAGAGTTTTTGAAAGTGACTGTTTAGAGGGCTGGAAGGAGGATATGCAAAAACACATGCAACAACAAAAAATCCATCCATCAGAGTTTTCTAGGTCAATATCTGGACCAGTTTCTCTCGTATCCCGTAGCCCTTGTTGTGATGTGGGGTAGGAGAAAGGGACGTGGACATCTTACTGGCCAGGTCTTATCTTTTTTTGTTTTGTTTTGTTTTCTTGAGACAGTCTTGCTCTGTCTCCAGGCTGGAGTGCAGTGGGCGTGATCTCGGCCTCCCGGGTTCAAGCAATTCTCCTGCATCAGCCTCCTGAGTAGCTGGGACTACAGGCATGTGCCACCACGCCCAGCTAATTTTTGTAGTTTTAGTAGAGACAGGGTTTCTTTCTTTTTTTTTTTTTTGAGACAGAGTCTCTCTCTGTCACTCAGGCTAGAGTGCAATGGCACGATCTCGGCTCACTGCAACCTCCACCTCCCAGGTTCAAGCGATTCTCCTGAGAGACAGGGTTTCACCATGTTGGCCAGGATGGTCTTGATCTCCTGACCTCGTGATCTGCCTGCCACAGCCTCCCAAAGTGCTGGGATTAAGGTGTGAGCCACTGCGCCTTAATGGCGTCTTAATGCCTGGGCACATGGAGGAGTGAGTCAGGTACAAAAAACAAAAACAAAACAAAAAAAACCCCTGCTCAACCCTGCTCTCTGTCCATGGACCAGTACCCCTTCATCCTATCTGGGCTCTCCTTCCTACACCCTCGGGTTTCCCAAGGCTGAGTGTTGTGTTGAAAAGAGCAGCTTTCCAGGTAAAGAAGGACTGGCCAGGACCGGTGCCTTATACCTGGAATCCCAGCACTGTGGGAGGCCAAGGCGGGAGGATAGCTTCAGGGCAAGAATTGGAGACTAACCTGGGCCACATGGAGAGACCCCTGTCTCTACAAAAAATAAAAAATTATACTTCTGGAATCTTCAGAAAGAAAAATAAATAAACAAAATAAATTATCCAGGCCTGGTGACACACACCTATAGTCCCAGCTACTCAGGAGACTGAGGTGGGAGGATCACTTGAGCCCAGGAAGTTGAGGCTGCAGTGAGCAATGAGCCATGATCACACCATGGTACTCTAGCTTGGACAACAGAGCCAAACCCTTTGTCAAAAAAAAAAAAAAAAAGAAGAAGAAGAAAAGAAAGAAAAAAGGACAAGTCTTCATATAGAAATATGTTGAAATATATTAAGAAATGACCGTTTTCACAACATTTCTCAAGAACAATCTGACAGTGTATCAGAAGCCTTTAAAAAATATAGAGATCCAAGCCAGGCACCACCTGTAGTCCCAGCCATTTGGGAGACTGAGGTGGATCACTTAAGCCTAGAAGTTTGAGTCTAACTGGGCAACACAGCAAGACTTTGTCTCTTTAAAAATATATGTGTAAAAAAATAGACAAAAATTTAAATTAAAAAATATATTTGCACATATTGGCTGGGCGCGGTGGCTCACGCCTGTAATCCCAGCACTATGGGAGGCCAAGGTGGGAGGATCGCTGGAGCCCAGGAATTCAACACCAAAGTGGGCAACATGATGAAATCCCATCTCTACAAAAAATACAAAAATTAGCCTGGCAGGGTGGCAAGCACCTGTATTACCGGCTACTCGGGAGGGTGAGGTGGGAGGATTGCTTGAACCCAGGAGGCAGAAGTTGCAGTGGGTAGAGATCGCGCCACTGCACTCCAGGCTGAGTGACAGAGTGAGACCCGTATATACACACACATACACATACACAGACCCTTTGATCCAGCAGTCCACAAAGCATAGTTTATTCTAAGAAAATAAAAGAAATGAATAAAGATGAGTTTATCTTGCTCATAATAATGTAAATATTGAAAACCTAAATATCTAGCTATAGGAGATTAGACAAACTATAGAATGCTTTACTTATCTAACTATAGGTAGACGTTAATGGATGTAAATTATCCATTGAAATGTTAAATAGAAACAAAAAGAGCTAGTTCATGGCAGGGTTAGGCAAAAAAAAAAAAAAAAAAACAAAAGAGAGCAACAGGAATGTAAAAGCATATGTATCCTATGGTCCATCTTCAAAAAAAGTTTGTAAATACACACCTTGAAACTATGAAAGGTTAAACACCAGAATTTTAACAGTTATTAACTCCAGGGGATGGGAATATAAATTTATTTCTCTATGTGCTTATCAGAATTTTCTTTTCTTTTTTTAATTTTTTTTTTTTTTTTGAGATGGGGTCTCACTCTGTCACCCAGGCTGGAGTGCAGTGATCCAATTACAGCTCACTGCACCCTCAACCTCTCTGGGCTCGGATGATACTCTCACCTTAGCCTCCTGAATAGCTAGGACTACAGGTGTGCGCCACCATGCCCAGCTAATTTTTGTACTTTTTTGTAGAAAAAGGGTTTCACCATGTCCCCCAGGCTGGTCTTGAACTCCTGGAATCAAATGATCCATCCATCTCAGCCTCCCAAAGTATCAGGACCACAGGCCTGAGCCACCATTCCTTGTCAGAATTTTCTAATTTTTCTACAAAGAACATGATTAAGTAATAAAAGACACAAATTATTTAAGTATGTCTTCAGTCACTTTTATTTTTTTGAGACAGGGTCTTGCTTTGTTGCCCAGGCTGGATTGCAGTGGTGCAGTGGCGGCAGTGGTGGACTGCCGCCTCAACCTCGCAGGCTCGAGCCATCCTCCCACCTCAGCCTCCTGAGTAGCTGGGACTACAGGAACGTGCCACCGTGCCCAGCTAATTTTTTAAATTTTTGTAGAGATGAGCTCTCACTGTGTTGCCCAGGCTGCTCTTGAACTCCTGGACTTAAGCCATCCTCCCCTTTGCCCTCCCAAGGTGTTGGGATTACTGGTGTGAGCCACCACGCCCAGCTTCAGCCACTTCTTATTTTCTGTAATATCGATGCTCAAGGTAATCCGCGGGCAGAGGTGACTGGGCTTGAGGCTGGGATCTGGAAGCCTTGTTTTGTGCTGTGTGTGACCTTGGGCAAGCCACCTGACGGGGAGGTATTTGCATCCGCGTTTTACAGATAGATAACTGATGTGCAGAGAGGACTCATGCTGTGCTCAAGATCCCACAGTTCTTAGTGCCAGAGCTGGATTTTTTTCTGTCTTTTTCTTTTTTTGTTTTGTTTTGTTTTTCTTTTCTTTTTTTTTTTTTTTTTTTTTGAGACGAAGTCTCTCTCTTGTCCCCCAGGCTGGAGTGCAATGGCGGGATCTCGGCTCACTGCAACCTCTGCCTCCCGGGTTCAAGCTATTCTCCTGCCTCAGCCTCCCAAGTAGCTGGAATTACAGGCGCCTGCCACAGCGCCCGGCTAATTTTTTTTTTTTTTTTTTGTATTTTTAGTAGAGACGGGGTTTCACCATGTTGGCCAGACTGGTCTCGAACTACTGACCTCAGGTGATCCGCCCTCCTCGGCCTCCCGAAGTGCTGGCATGAGCCACCGCGCCTGGACGTGTTTTGGTTTTTTGAGATAGAGTCTCATTCTGTCGCCCAGGCTGGGGTGCAGTGGCGTGATCTCGGCTCACTGAAACCTCCACTTCCCGGGTTCAAGCGATTCTCCTGCCTCAGCCTCCCGAGCAGCTGGGATTACAGGTGCCCGCCACCATGCCCGGCTAATTTTTGTATTTTTAGTAAAGACAGGCTTTCACCATGTTGGCCAGGCTGGTCTCGTACTCCTGACTTCAGGTGATCCGCCCGCCTCGGCCTCCCAAAGTGCTGCGATTATAGGCGTGAGCCACCGCGCCCAGCCCCAGGGCTGGATTTTGAACCCAGGTTTCCTGATTCTGGTTAAGGATTTTCTCCACTACACCAGAGGTACCCTTTTCTGAGCCTCATCTCTAAAACAGCAGGGTCAGGATACAGTCCCTTCCAGCTGAAAATATTCAGTGTCCGCAGGAACTTTTCCCCCTCCCCCATCACTCCTGGCACGTCTACAGGCCGGAACAGTTGGTGTATGTGCCCCATTTATCGGATGGGGCCGATAATTCCCTGGCCGGCGGGATTTCAGGCTGGGTTAAGAGAACTCCAGCCGGCCCCATGGCCACAAAAGGGGGAGGGTGGGGGTGCTCTATGGTTGGGCATCTGGCCGGGTGCCTGCAGAACCAGGCAAGAACTGCCCATGAAAGCTGGCTGGCTGCCGGGAACTCGTTGTCTTTCCATTTAAACAGACACTGGCTGTCTGTTGAGTTTCTGGAAACATCTGACCTTTTGCAGAGCATCTCAAGAGTTGTCAGGGAGGGCTGGAGGGAGGCTTCTCACTTTCTGTAAACGGTTTAACCCTTCCTACAAAACCCCTAACAATAAAAAGAAGAGATCAATTTCCAGGGAACTAGAAAGGTTTGTTTGTCCTATTTTTTTTGGAGGGGGGGCGGGGGGGACAGGGTCTCGCTCTGTCGTCATGCTTGAGTGCAGTGGCTTAATCTCGGCTCACTGAAACCTCCGCCTCCCAGGTTCAAGCGATTCTCCTGCCTCAGCCTCCTGAGTAGCTGGGACTACAGGCACATGCCACCATGCCCAGCTCATTTCTGTATTTTTAGTAGAGACGGGGTTTCACCATGTTGATCAGGATGGTCTCAATCTCCTAACCTCAAGATCCGCCTGCCTCGGCCTCCCAAAGTGCTGGGATTACAAGCGTGAGCCACCGTGCCCGGCCTGTTTGTCCTATTTTGTTGGCTGGGGAGGTAGGTCATGTCTGGGAGCAGGGAAGAGACATTGAGCCCAGGGACCTCCTGTGTAGTTTTTTTCTGATCCCCTGTTTCTGGGACTGGAGGCTGTGGCTCCCTGGGGAGTGAGGGGGAGGGGGTGGGTGAGATGGAAGTCCTGGAGGAAGGGGAGGGGCTGAAAGGAGGCAGCTCCCTCTGCCCAGAGCAGAGGCTCTACTGAAGACAAGAGTTTGGCTCACTAGAGCAGGGACTACTTCTCTGACGTAGTGAGCAATGTACTTTATCCTGCAAATGTTTGTAGCGCACCTCCTATGTGCCAGACACTATGTGAGGCACTGGTGACATGACAGCAAGCAATCTCAGACAGACATGTCTCATGCCTTTGTGGAGTGCCCCCTTTTTTTTTTTTTTTTTTTTTTGAGACGGAGTCGCTCTGTCACCCAGGCTGGACTGCAGTGGTGCGATCTTGGCTCACTGCAACCTCCGCCTCCCGGGTTCAAGCAATTCTCCTGCCTCAGTCTCCCGAGTAGCTAGGACTACAGGCACACGCTGCCACGCCCAGCTAATTTTTTGTATTTTAGTAGAGACGGGGTTTCACCTTGTTGCCCAGGCTGGTCTTGAACTCCTGAGCTCAGGCAATCTGCCTGCCTCGGCCTCCCAAAGTGCTAGGATTACAGACGTGAGCCACCGCACCCGGCCGGAATGCCCATTTTATGGAGGAGTAAACTGGGAGGACGAGCAGAAATATCAAAAAAGCCTTAAGTGCTGTGAAGGAGGCTTTAACGTAGGAAAGTCGGGGTTGCTTTCCCAAGGAGCCTGTTGAGCAGAGACTTAAAACTTTACTGCTTGAAGATAATGCACAGCATCGCCCTCATATTGAACTGTGTTAAAATGAAGAATCTTCAGCCCCCCCCCAGATCTACAGTTTCTAAATGTGCTATTTATTTTTATTTTTTATTTTTATTTTTTTTTTGAGATGGAATCTCACTCTTGTTGCCCAGGCTGGAGTGCAGTGGCGCTATCTCAGCTCATTGCAACCTCTGCCTCCCGGGTTCAAGAGATTCTCCTACCTCAGTTTCCCGAGCAGCTGGGATTACAGGCACTCGCCACCACACCCGGCTAATTTTTGTATTTTTAGTAGAGACGGGGTTTCACTGTGTTGGCCAGGCTGGTCTCAAACTCCAGACCTCAGGTGATCCACCCACCTTGGCCTCCCATCGGCCTCCCAAAGTACTGAGATTACAGGCATTTGCCACTGCGCCAGGCCTAAATGTGCTTTTTAACAAGATCTCCCAGGTGCACAGCAGCATACATATTAGGGTTTGAGAAACAAGGCTAAGGGTGTAACTAAGTTACCAGTCTGGGTGTAGCTTGGAACCAGAGGAGAGCATTCTAGCTAAGAGCCCTGGGATGGGAAGGAGCTTGGAGCAGCATGTGAAAGTCAAGGAATATTTGTGGGTATTTGCAATTTTTCTTTTTTCCGTAAGTGGGAGAGACTTGATCATGTTGAAAAGTCTTTAGGCCATGTGCGGGGGCTCAGCCTGTAATCCCAGCACTTTGGGAGGCCGAGGCAGGGGGATCACTTGAGGTCAGGAGTTCGAGGCCAGCCTGGCCAACATGGTGAAACCCCATCTCTACTAAAAATACAAAAATTAGCCAGGCTTGGTGGCACACACCTGTAGTCCCAGTTACTTGGGAGGCAGGAGAATCACTTGAATCTGGGAGGCGGAGGTTGCAGTGAGCTGAGATCGCGCCACTGCACTCCTGCCTGGGTGACAGAGCGAGACTCCATCTCAGAAAAAAAAAAAAAAGAAAAGTCTTTAGAAGTAAACCAGTTGAGAGGGAGGGAGTGGGAGACAAAGTACAGTGGAAGGGTAGATAGGAGGAGGGGCAGTTTCTGTAGGACTGGCTTCCCAACCCCCAACCTCTGCTGCTGGCTCGAATCACCTACAGAATTTGAAAATTTACATGTGTTTGGCTGGGCGAAGTGGCTGGTGCCCATAATTCCAGCACTTTAGGAGGCAGAGGCAGGCGGATCACTTGAGGTCAGAACTTCGAGACCAGCCTAGCTAACGTGGTGAAACCCCATCTCTATTAAAAATACAAAAATTAGCTGGGCATGTTGGCGGGTGCCTGTAATCTCAGCTATTCTGGAGGCTGAGGCATGAGAATCACTTGAACCCGGGAGGCAGAAGTTGCGGTGAGCCGAGATTGCACCCTTGCATTCCAGCCTGGGCAACAGTGCAAGAATCAATCTCAAAAAAACAAATAAATAAATACTGATGTTGGTTGGGCGCGGTGGCTCATGCCTGTAATTCCAGCACTTTGCGGGGCCAAGGCAGACAGATCACCTGAGGTCAGGAGATCGAGGCCAGCCTGGCCAATGTGGTGAAACCCCGTCTCTACTAAAAATACAAAAATTAGCTGGGCCTGGTGGCACACGCCTGTAGTCCCAGCTACTCAGGAGGCTGAGGCAGGAGAATCGCTTGAACCCAACAGGTAGAGGTTGCGGTGAGCCAAGATTGTGCCATTGCACTCCAGCCTTGGTGACGGAGTGACACTCTGTCAAAAAAAAAAAAACACAACTGAAGCCTGGATTCACCCCCAGAGAATCTGATTGAAATGATATGCAGAATTGGCCAGCTCCTCCAAGCGATTCCAATGCGCAGCCAGGGTGTAGAACAATTACTTTGGTGAGAAGAAGGGTAGGAGGGGCAGGGCGGTGGGGGGCTTGCAGGGAGTAGCTTGGAAGTGGATGAAGCCTGTTAGGTACCAAGGAGGGCCCATTTACCTAGGTTCCCAATTCAGAAAGAGCTTCAGATTTAGACTTTGTATGTTATTGCAAAATGTATTTGCACCTATAGCCATTGTACTTGCGTGTGTTAAAGAGCACTGTTTTGTTGTGTCTAAACACGTAAAATAACTGCATTTCTTGTAAACAGCAATCTATCCATCCATCTATACCAAGACCACCACCCTTTTCATGAAAGTAGACTGGGTCTCTCTCAATGCAGATGGAAAAAAATAAGGAAGACCCCATCTGATGACTTTAATTTTGTTTGTTTGTTTGTTTGAGACAGGGTCTCACTCTGTTGCCCAGACTGGAGTGCAGTGGCACGATCATAGCTCACTGCAGCCTCAACCTCTCAGGCTCGGGTGATCCTTCCACCTCAGCCTCCCAGATAGCTGGGACTACAGATGTGTGCCACCACACTTGACTAGTTTTTAAAATTTTTTGTCGAGATGGGGCAGTGTCGCTATGTTGCCCAGGCAGGTCTTGAACTCCTGGGCTCAAGTGATCTGCCCACCTTGGCCTCCCAAAGTGATGGAATTACACGTGTGAGCCACCACGCCCATCATGACTTCTATTTTGGTTTTTGGTTGTTGTGGTTTTTGCAATCTCAGGCCAGAGATCTTCACTTCTGTTTTGTATGTGAAGTAAAGGACAGAAGGGAAAATGTTTAAGAGAGTTGGTCCAGAGAGCAATGTAGAGAGGTGGCCAGAGAAAGGACAGCCCAGGTGGTGCTGAGGGTCTGAAGCTGATAACCTAGATTTGCAATGGAACCCTCCACCCTAAGTGACTCTCTCCAGCCACTGTTGAGGAAGAGGTACTGAGAAAGTGGGTCACAGAGCTCATCTAGAGCTTTCTTTCTTTCTTTCTTTCTTTTTTTTTGAGATGGAGTCTCACTCTGTCGCCCAGACTGGAGACTGGAGTGCAGAGTGCAGTGGTGCAATCTCAGCTCACTGCAACCTCCACCTCCCGGGTTCAAGCCATTCTCCTGCCTCAGCCTCCCTAGTAGCTGGGACTACAGGTGCGTGCTGCCCTGCCTGGCTAACATCTGGAGCTTTCCCACGTGGTGAAAATGACCACAAGGGATGTTAGAGAATTGAGGCAATAGGTTGTTGGAATGGTGGATCTAAGTGGGTAAGAAGGGAATGGGGAGGGAGAAAGGCTAGTGGATCAGGAGAAGGTGGGACATCAGTGACCTGGAGAGGCTGCTGAGGTCCAAGGAAGGTCTGAGCGAGTGTGTTAAACCAGGAAGTAGGAAGGAAAAGAGAAGGGAGTTAGAGACTGGGATGCCTGAATTTGGGATCTTGCTGATGGAGCTGTGACTGCTGGTAAAATTGGAGTGGCGGTTGAAGTGGGGTCAGGGAAGTCACCAGAGATGTAAGAAAGTAGATGCAGGACTTGTCACCAAGACAGTGACTGGAGCTTTAGGTGAAGAACTGGGAGCCACATGCGAAGTCTCTAGTGACAAGGAAGTGGCCAGAGGTGGGTGGCCAGCCTCAGGGCTTTTTTTTTTTTTCTTCCAGCAGTTTGTTATAGCCTCAGGGTTTTTATCAGAGGAGGGAAGACAATCATTCAAGAGGGGCATGGGGATGCCTCAGGTCCTGGGGAAGGAGAGGAAGATAGGGGAGAGATGCAGGATGGAGCAGAAGCAAGGAAAGACAGGGGTTCTGGAGGATGCCAGTAATGTAGAGAAAAAAGTCAATGAGTCAATGAGTCAATGAGGCAGGCTCACACCTGTAATCCCAGCACTTTGGGAGGCCGAGGTGGGTGGATCACCTGAGGTTGAGAGTTTGAGACCAGCCATGGCCAACATGGTAAAACCTTGTCTCTACTATAAATACAAAATTAGCTGGGCGCAGTGGCACATGCCTGGAATCCCAGCTACTTGGGAGGCTGAGGCAGGAGAATCGCTTGAACCCGGGAGGTGGTAGTTGCAGTGAACCGAGATTGCACTATTGCACTCCAGTCTGGGCAACGAGAGCAAAACTCCCTCTCAAAAAAAAAAAAAAAAATTACAATAAAAAAATCACAATGAGATATTACTATGCACCTATAAGAGCAGCTAAAATAAAAAACAGTGATAACAGGAAATGCTGGCAAGAGTGTGGAGAAAATGGATCTCTCTCCACATTCCTGGTGGAAATGTAAATGGTACAGCCATTCTGCAAAAAATCATGGCAATTTATAAGACTAGATATGCACTTACCATAAGACACAGCAATGGCATTCTTTGGACATATATCTCAGAGAAA
This sequence comes from Homo sapiens, assembly GCF_000001405.40. NCBI lineage: Eukaryota > Metazoa > Chordata > Mammalia > Primates > Hominidae > Homo > Homo sapiens. The sequence continues at coordinate 90,180,330 of NC_000015.10, forward strand.
TGAAAACTTACATTCATATAAAAACCTGTACACAAATGTTTAGAGTTGCTTCATTTGTAATAGCCCAAAACTGGAAACAACCCAAATAGCCTTCAATTCAATGGGTGAATAAACTTGAGCTAGATATGGTGGCTTATGCCTGTAATCCCAGTACTTTGAGAGACTGAGGTGGGAGGATTGCTTGAGCCCAGGAGTTGAAGACCAGCCTAGGCAACATAGGGAGACCCCCATCTGTACAAAAAAATAAAAAGTTAAACTCTAGTACATGCATTCCATGGGATACTACTCAGTAATAAAAAGGAAAGAACTATTGATACACACAGTGACTTGGTTGGATATATCTCAGAGGCATTATGGTTATCGAAAAAAGCCAATCTCTGCACTCCAGGCTGGATGACAGAGAGAGACGTTGTCTTAAAAAAAATAATAAAAAAATAAAAAGAAAAAAGCCAATCTCAAAAGGTTATGCACTATATTTACATAACATTCTTGAAATAACAAAACTATACAGATGGAGAAGAGATTAATGGTTGTGAGAGGACAGTGACAGGAGTGTGACTATAAAGAGGTACCGTGAAGGAGTACCCCACAGGGATGGAACAGTTCTTGATGGTGGTGGTCGGTACACAAATGCATTCATGGGTTCAAGTTACATAAAACTAAACGCACATATATATGTGCAGGCACAAATAAGTGCATGCAAAAACTGAACGATAAGGTCTGCAGTCTATTTACAGCATTGACCAATGTCAATTTCTTGATTTTGCTATTCTACTACAATTATATAAGTTCATCACTGGGGAAAGCTGGTGAAGTGTTCATGGGACACTATGTACTATTTTGCAACTTCCTCTGAATCCATAATTATTTCAAAATTAAAAAGTTAACAGGCCAGGCCCGGCGGCTCACACCTGTAATCCCAGCACTTTGGGAAGCTGAGGCGGGCAGATCACGAGGTGAGGAGATCGAGACCATCCTGGCCAACATGGTGAAACGCTGTCTCTACTAAAAATACAAAAAAAATTAGCCAGACATGGTGGCGGGTCCCTGTAGTCCCAGCTACTTGGGAGGCTGAGGCAGGAGAATCGCTTGAACCCAGGAGGCAGAGGTTGCAGTGAGCCGAGATGGTGCCCCTGCACTCCAGCCTGGCTGCAGAGCAAGACTCCGTCTCAAAAAAAAAAAAAAAAAAGTTAACAAAAACATGTATCTAATTCTAAAATTACACATTTTAAAGAACATGTAAGAACAAAAACATGTATATTAAACACCTTAATGGTTTTCTATCAGGAGAGGGAGCGGGAGGAGGAATGAAATAAACAGCTACATTAATCAAGGGTCCCTGTGCAGACAAATGATAATAATGTGCTGTGAACCGAAAAGGTATTAAGTCAAACTTCTCTGCACCTGAGGTCCTGCAGAGAGGAAAGGGTATGTGTGTTGGGGGTCGGGGGAGGAGATGAGAGAAGGGGGGATCAATAACATTAAAGACAGGGCTTTATTTCAAATAAAGATTCAAAAATCTTTATTTAAAGATTTTTCCCTTTGTTCAATAGAAGACTGGAGGAGGTTGGAGGAGGAGAAGGAGCAGGAAAAGGGAGGAGGGAGAAGGTGCCGGAGTGGGCAGTGGAAAGTACTCTTCTGGTCTGGGGACCACTAGCTGAATCCCTGAGGAGCTCTGAGGCCCCACGGGGGAGTCCTAGTTTCCAGGTGCTTCTCTGAGCAGTGGTGCTCCCAAGGTGCTCTGTGTGCTGGAAAATTGGAAGTGCTGATTTTAATTTTTATTAAATCTGTTTTAATTATGTTAATATTTTTTCTAGAGGGTGTTATGGAGAAAGAAGTGCTGATTTTTAACATCGCCTCTTGCAAGGCACAGCTTGCAGGTGCTGGGTGACCTAAGGCAAGACCCCTAATTTAGCTGTGCTTTCCATATCCTTAGCAAGGAGTGTCCCCACCCCAGCACTGTTTGAAAGGCAGAGCTCATAAGAGGATTGAGAGGATTTTAAAAGCCGTTTGCACAAGTTCATGGCCTTAGTTATAAACGCAGTACATATTGCTACTAATTGGATGACTATAAGGAGGAAGAAAGAATATAAGGGGCAAAAGGAAACAATTCAGGAAGTGCATAAAGGTTTATTGACAAGGATGCTCATCTCAACATTACTTAAGATAATAAACAATTAGAAACAACTTAAATATCCACTTGGTTAAAAATGTACGGTACATTCGTGTGATAGAATACATTAAAATGAAAGTATGCAAGAATTCTTACATTTATTTATTTATTTATTTATTTATTTATTTATTTATTTATTTTGAGACGGACTCTCACTCTGTTGCCCACGCTGGAGTGCAGTGGTGTGATCTCAGCTCACTGCAACCTCTGCTTCCCGGGTTCAAGCGATTCTCCTGCTTCAGCCTCCTGAGTAGCTGGGATTACAGGTGCCCACCACCATGCCCTGCTAATTTTTGTATTTTAAGTAGAGACGGGGCTTCACCCCATCTCTACTGAATACCCCATGTATTTTCAGTAGAGACGGGGTTGGTCAGGTTGATCTTGAACTCCTGACCTTGTGATCCGCCCACCTCAGCCTCCTAAAGAGTTGGGATTACAGGCGTGAGCCACTGCACCCGGCAAGAATTTTTAATGTTATAGAAAAATGCGATATAGGCCGGGTGCTGTGGCTCACACCTGTAATCCCAGCACTTTGGGAGGCAAGGCAGGCAGATCACTTGAGGTCAGAAGTTCGAGACCAGCCTGGCCAACGTGGTGAAACCCCGTCTCTATTAAAAATACAAAAATTATCTGGGTGTGGTGGTGGGTGCCTGTAATCCCACCTACTTGGGAGACTGAGGCAGGAGAATCGCTTGAATCTGGGAGGTGGAGGTTACAGTGAGCCGAAATCGCACCGCTGCACTCCAGCCCGTGCAACAAGAGAGAGACTCCATCTCAAAAACAAGAAAAGAAAAACATAATAGAATGCTGTCCTAAGTAAAAGTTAGAAAACAGTATGTATTGAATAATCTTTTTTCTAAAAGATGTAAGTGTATAATTATGCATAGGAAACACACAGGAAGATATTCACCAAAATATTAACACCAGTATACCTAAGATTTGTGCAGTTTACTACATGCAAATTAATCTTAATTTTTAAAAAGTTTTAAAAAATATTAACGCTGACGGCCGGGTGTGGTGGCTCACGCCTGTAATCCCAGCACTTTGGGGGGCCAAGGCGGGTGGGTCACGAGGTCAGGAGTTCGAGACCAGCCTGTCCAATATTGTGAAACCCTGTCTCTACTAAAAATACAAAAATTAGTCAGGTGCAGTGGCGGACACCTGTAATCCCAGCTACTTGGGAGGCTGAGGCAGGAGAATTGCTTGAACCCGGGAGGCAGAGGTTGCAGTGAGCTGAGATCGAGCCACTGCACTCCAGCCTGGGTGACAGAGCAAGACTCCGTCTCGGAAAAAAAAAAATTAACAAGGTTGATGCCAATGTGTAGGTAAAATGAAATTATGAGTGATATTATTTTTAATTGTGTTTTTCTGTTGTCTAACTTTCTTGTACTAAATATGTGTTTACTTTTATAGAGAGGTAACAAAAGTAACCACTTTTTTCTTTTTCTGGAGGAGCTAGGCAGCAATTCCCGGAGAGGAGAGGCTGCAGAAGGACAATGTACACTTAGGCCAGGCCTGCCCGGCCCTGGAACGGGCTGCCACTTGGCCTCTGGTTTCTGCAGTCCCTTGACCCGTCAGTTCAGGCCAGCTCAGCCACTTACAAGTCCAGAACTGGTTGTTTCAGTAACCGCCCTGAAAGCTGCCGTTGCTTTCCTGGAAGATAGCACCGGGACGCAAGAGTGGAGAGGGAGGAGCCAAGGTCACCTCATAAATGCGGGATATTTATAACCCTATCTTTCACCCCTCCTGCAGATCTCCGTTTCGTTTTACTCTCTGAGCACGCCCGCCCACTGCATGTTAAGGGAGCAGTGAGCAGCATTTATCTCGGGTGGAGACGTGGGTGGTTTCACAGAGTGTGGATCTGCCCTCCTCTCTCTCACTTGCCTCCTTCTGTAAACAATATTACCATTCTTGAGAGCTGACCATGTGCCAGGTGTGTGCCTCCACCATTGCATTTCCCATCACAGCCTTGTGAGATCTCTAGTGTTCTGATGCCCACTTTACAGATGAAAAACTCCAGGCTCAGAGAGGTTAAGGAACTCGTCCTACGTAACACAGCCAGTTAGGTAAGAGTGGATCTAGGATTTCAACCCGGGCCAGCCCAGACTCCAGCTAGTGAGGCCGCCCCCTGTGGCCCAGGTCCAGCGAGGCCGAGTCTCCCAAGGTGAAGGACCGCACAGTCCCTTGGGCTCCACGGCTAACTTGGGCCGACCAGCGGTCGTGGGGAGGCGGACCCGACAGGCCAGGGTGGTCGTGGCATCGAGTCCATCGTTGGTGCAAATGGCCGGGGGCCGGTGGCGGTGGTGGGGCGGGGGGCACGGCCCGCATCAGGCAAATCCCGGAGGCGCCCTCTGGACAATTCCCGTAAACACGGGCAGAGCGGGGCGGGGCTGGGCGGGGCTTGGCGGGGGCCCAGCATTTCCGGGGACGCCGCGCCGGACTGAGGCTGTGCGCCCGAGACTCCGGGTCCCCAGGGGCTGCGCCGGGCCGGCCTGGCAAGGGGGACGAGTCAGTGGACACTCCAGGAAGAGCGGCCCCGCGGGGGGCGATGACCGTGCGCTGACCCTGACTCACTCCAGGTAGGCGCGGGGGGTGCCTGGCGAGGTGGGAGCCGCTGCCCGGGAGGTGGCGGACCAGGCGAAAACCGCCGCGCAGCCGCTGCCCCCACCCTTGCACCCGCACCTCCCGCCCGGCCCCTCTCCCCAGAAGGCGCCACCTGCACGCTCTGATGGGCACTGGGGCCCGCCGCCCGGGGAGCCTGTTGCCATGGCAGCGCAGGAGGCTGGGCCCGCGTTCCCATGGCCACCGGGGGCCTTTGAGCAGCGTTCACATCGCGCCAGTGCACCACCCCTACTCCTAAACCCGGGACCTGGTCCTGGGGGGAAGTCATTTGGAATTCGGAAAAGGCCTGGGCCCCTGCGGAATGGTCGTGGATATGACCTCCGAGTTAGGCCCTTTGTCATGGCTTCTTTCTTCTCACTGAGCACCAAGGTGCTAGAAGGAGAAGGCTAGAAGGAGAAGGAAGTTGAGGTTCTGGGCATGAAGCTGCAGTTGCGGCTACTCGGGAGTTATTCTGGTCTAGCAGAAAGGCGAAGGAGCCCTGGGTCATCTCGGGAAGGTCATCAAATCTCTGCCCACATTTCCTCACCTGTAATATGGGTATGTTATTTGAGTTAAACACAGGATTCCTCTAAAGGTTGAAATGCCTTAAAATTTTGTGCGGGAAGCATACAAACTTTTAAAAAGTTTTTTTCCCCATAATGCCTTAGAACTGGAAAAGATGTAGAAATCACCTTGGCCCATCCCCCCTCATTTTCATAAGGAAAACTGAAGCCAGAGAGATTAAATCGCTTCCCAAGATGACAGTGAGTTAGTGGGAAGGTCAGGATTTGAACTCAGGCCATGGCCGTTTCTTTTGGTGATTTTTTTTTTTTTTTTTTTTTTTTTTTGAGACGGAGTCTTGCTCTATCCTCCAGGCTACAGTGCAGTAGCGCGATCTTGGCTCACCGCAACCTCCACCTCCCTGGCTCAAGTGACTCTTCTGCCTCAGCCTCCTGAGTAGCTGGGACTACAGGCGTGTGCCACCATGCCAAGCTAATTTTTGTATTTTTAGTAGAGACAGGGTTTCACCATGTTGGCTAGGCTGGTCTCCAACTCCTGAGCTCAAGTGATCCGCCCACTTTGGCCTCCCAATGTGCCTGGTTTATAGGCTTGAGCCACCACGCCTGGCCTTTTTGGAGATTATACCTTCTGAAGCTCAGGAAAATCTAGGATATGTCTCCTTGCACCTGGGGCTCAAACTGTTGGTGACAGGTAATCTCCATATGGGGACATTGGCCAGGCATGGTGGCTCACGCCTGTAATCCCAGCACTTTGGGAGGTCGAGGCAGGCGGATCACCTGAGCTCAGGAGTTTGAAACCAGCCTGGTCAATGTGGTGAAACCTCGTCTCTAGTAAAAACACAAAATTAGCTGGGCATGGTGGCGCATGCCTGTAATCGCAGCGACTTGGGAGGCTGAGGCAGGAGAATCGCTTGAATCTGGGAGGCGGAGGTTCCCTGAGCCAGCCGAGATTGTGATTGCATTCCAGCCTGGACAACAAGAGTGAAACTCCATCTCAAAAAGCAAACAAAAAATAAAATAATAAAAATAAAGGCCAGGCACGGTGGCTCACGCCTGTAATCCCAGCACTTTGGGAGGCCGAGATGGGCGGAGAGGTCAGGAGATCAAGACCATCCTGGCTAACACAGTGAAACCCCGTCTCTACTAAAAATACAAAAAATTAGCCAGACGTGGTGGTGGGCGCCTGTAGTCCCAGCTACTCGCGAGGCTGAGACAGAAGAATGGTGTGAACCCGCGAGGCGGAGCTTGCAGTGAGCCGAGATTGCACCACTGCACTCCAGCCTGGGCGACAGAGCAAGACTCCGTCTCAAAAAATAATAATAATAAAAAACAAAAAAATAAAAATAAAATAAATAAAGATTGGGGACATTGGCAACAGTTGAACTAAAGATGGGAAACGGAGACTTGTGCCTTGGGGAGAGCTGAGTCTCCCCGCTGCATGGGTCTTGTGCCTTGAGGCTCTTGCTTTAATGTAGTATCTGACTACATTGGACAGGATGGTCCAAAGTAAGTCCCTGGGAGCCAAGCATTCAGCCACTCTCCAAAATACCATCTCTTCTGAAGCCAGCAAAGCTGGTGAGCCTGGAGCTAAGCAAGAAAACTGTTTAGCTTCCCTAAAGCAGGGAAATGGGACTCTAGTCCTGCCTCTATCCGTGTGGTGCTGTTTCCTTTGAAAGGGATAACAGAAAAGTGGGGGAAAAGATCCAGGAAGGAAAACGTGAATGAATCCTTTGGAAATGATTTGAGACAGCTAGAGCAGAAGACATTTGCTGGGTACCTGCTGTTTCCATGTTCTGTCCTGGGGCTGGAGATGAAAAAGCTGAGTTAGGCAGGCCTTGTCCCTGCATTCAAGGAGCTTGTAGAAGAGAAGGGAAGAGAGGGATGTGATGTGTAAGTGAGTATTTCACTGCAGCATAATGAGGTCCTAATAAGAATCTGAGCAGAGTGCAGAGGGAACTCGCAGGAGCAACTCTGGAAATTAGTTGAAAACAGCAGGATTCTAGCCTGGGAGCACTTCTAGAACTCTGCCAAGTTGGCCGTGGCCACTACCTTTGTTGGAAACAAAGCATAAGGGAGTGAAAGTGTCTAAAGAAAGGTGGGGGCTGGGTGCAGTGACCCACGCCTGTAATCCCAGCATTTTGGGAGGCCGAGGCAGGCAGATCACGAGGTCAGGAGATTGAGACCAGCCTGACCAATATGGTGAAATCTTGTCTCTACTAAAAATACAAAAATTAGCCGGGCATGGTGGTGCATGCCTGTAATCCCAGCTACTCAGGAGGCTGAGGCAAGAGAATCGCTTGAACCCAGGAGGCGGAGGTTGCAGTGAGCTGAGATCATGCCATTGCACTCCAGCCTGGGTGACAGAATGAGACTCCATCTCAAAAAAAAAAAAAAAGAAAGAAAAGAAACGTGGGTCAGGCATGGTGGCTCATGCCTGTAATCCCAGCACTTTGGGAGGCCAAGGTGGGTGGATCGCTTGAGTCCAGGAGTTCGAGACCAGCCTGGGCAACATGGTGAAACTCAGTCTCTACAAAAAATACAAAAATTAGCCGAGCATGGTGGCCCATGCCTGTAGTGTCAGCTATCCAGGGCGCTGAGGTAGAAGGATCACCTGAGCCAAGGGAGGTTGAGGCTTCAGTGAGCCATCAATCATCCTGCCACTGCATTCCAGCTTGGGTGGCACAGTGAGACACTGTCTCAAAAATAAAATAAAATAAAAGTAGCCAGGCGAGGTGGCTTATGCCTGTAATCCTAGCATTTTGGGAGGCCGAGGTGGGCGGATCACCTGAGGTCAGGGGTTCAAGACCAGGCTGGCCAACATGGTGAAACCCTGTCTCTACTAAAAATACAAAAATTAGCCAGGCATGGTGGCGCATGCCTGTAATCCCAGCTACCCGGGAGGCTGAAGCAGGAGAGTTGCTGGAACCTGGGAGGCGGAGGCTGCAGTGAGCCGAGATCGCACCACTGCACTCCAGCCTGGACGACAGAACAAGACTCCGTCTCAAAATAAATAAATAAATAAAAATAAATGTAGATCAGGATACGTATTGTCTTTTTTTGTTTGTTTTTTGAGACAGAGTCTCGCTCACTCTGGGTGCAGTGGCGCTATCTCGGCTCACTGCAAGCTCCGCCCCCCGGATTCATGCCATTCTTCTGCCTCAGCCTCCCGAGTAGCTGGGACTACAGGCACCCACCACCACGCCCGGCTAATTTTTTTGTATTTTTAGTAGAGACGGGGTTTCACCATGTTAGCCAGGATGGTCTACGATCTCCTGACCTCGTGATCCGCCCGCCTCAGCCTCCCAAAGTGCTGGGATTATAGGCATGAGCCACCGCGCCCAGCCAGGATGAATATTCTCTGAAAGAACAGTTTAAAGGATCCTGATAAACTAAGCTCTGTGAAGGCAGCAACCACGTCAGTTTCCTTAAACTTGAGCAATACTTAGAAGGCAGCAAGTGCACAAGAAATATGTGTTGCATGAATGAAAGAAGGAAGTGGGGGGGAGGAAGGAAAAGGAGGAAGTGAGCGAGGGCAGGAAGAAAAGGGAAGGAAGGGAGAGGAGAGAAGTGAAGGAAGGAAGAAAAGGTAGGAAGGAGGGAGGGAAGGAAAGAAGGAAGGATAAACATTGGCTTATATTATCAGAAGAGGTGGATGGCTATAACTTGAGACAAAACGTGGTTGATTTCTGACTATAGGTTGAATATCCATATGGGTTCTGGAGTCAGCAGATCTGAGTTGTGGTCCTAGTCCTGACTTGTCACTTGTGTGACCTTAGTAAGTCCTGGAACCTCTCTATGCCCCAATTTCTCACTTCTGAAATGGCAATAATAACTGATATCTCACCCTGTAGTGAGAATTAAGTAAATGATTGAATGTAAAAATTTGGCACAATCCTCACTTATAGTAGGTGCTCAATAAATATTAATTAGCTATATAAATGTCAACTTTGATGTAGCTGGAAAGAATTTGCCAAATATTTCATGTCAAGGTTATATAACTATTCCAAACTGAGGTATAATTTCTTTTTTTCTGATAAAGGCTAATTTTGAAAGTTCCTTGTGTCTGCAGACTAACGCACCTTAGAGAAATGGTTCTTTACTTTTTTTGGCGGGGAGTGGGGGCTGGTAGCAAGGAGCTTTTGAAATTAAATGAAAGCTCTGATTCCCTCTCTCCTGAAATGGCATCTCATTCTTGGCGTTCACAGCTCCCTGAAGCCCACCCGTGTGGTGAAGGGGGTCCCTGCTCTGCTGCACTGCTCACAGGCTATAGTGAAAGAACTCAGGCAGCATTCATAGAAGAGGTGGCTGGGAGGAGCAAGCAGGGTCAGCCGTCTTTCAAGGGGTTTGTGGAAACCAAAAGATGAGACGGCTAGAGATAAGCACATGTGGCCCCGTGGGTGCGTCCTCTTAGAGCCCACTCTCCTGCTAGGGCCAAGCTGGGGCTCACTCAGAACCTTGTGGGCTCCAGAGTCCCTGGTGTGGTGCCCACCAGCCGGACCCTCATTCACAGTGCATAAATGGTGCTGCAGGGTGGCTGCTGTGTGAGATTCCTATCCAGGCATGGATCTTTGGTGCCACCCTCACATCAGCTTTCTGTGAGTGTTGTCTCCTAATACCACTGCTTTAGGGTGGCAAGTGGGCACACTGCCACAGGTGGTGCATTCCTCAGAACCTCCACCCTGGCAAAGCAGGGTGAGAGTACAGCCTACAGAGCCTTAGGAGATCCGTGGCAACCCGTCTGTGCATCCCCGCTACCCACCTAGGCATACCTGTTCCTGCCCACTCTCTGGGATCAGCATCAGAACCAAGAGCAAGGCTCTGTCTGGGAGTAAGAGTGGCAGCCACCAGGTGACCTGAGGTGATGGGGAAACTCCAGGGTCAGAGAGCTCCTCCTCCCTGGGAAGGAAGAGGCAGAGGGGAGAGCCTTGGGCCTTTGGGAAGGAAGGTTGGTTTCCTGAGGTGGAGGGAGGGCCCTGGCCTGTTCCTTTTTCCCCTCACAGGGGTCTGGTGCTCAGACTGGGATTTTAGAGGGAATAACTCGATAGCAAATGGGGAGGTAGATTCCTCACTTCATGGGATCTTTGGAACCAGGGTGTGTGTCTGTGTGTGTCTGTGTGTGTCTTGCTCTGTGTCTGTGTCAGTGTCTTGCTCTGTGTGCATGTGTGTGTATGTGTGTGTGTCAGTGTCTTGCTCTGTCACCCAAGCTGGAGGTACCATCGTGACTCATTGCAGCCTCTACCTCTCAGGTTCAAGTGATCCTTGCACCTCAACCTTCCAAGTAGCTGGGACCACAGGAGCACACCACCACACCTGGCTAATTTTTAATTTATTTTTTGTAGAGACCGGGTCTTCCTATGTTGCCCATCTGGTCTCCCCTGGACAGGCGAGTGGGTGCAAAAGCAGAGGCAGACAGCGCCTCCTGAACTCATATTGGGGGAGCAGAGGAGTGACAGTGGCAACTTCATGTTCTACCCTGTCAGGGCAGGGACAGGTTGAGCCCTGCTGATTGCCCCACAGCCCTGTGGGGCGGAGGGATCCCCTCCCAGGGAGTGGCCAGCTCAGGCCCCAACAGGCCCCAGTGGGGGTGGTGCTGGGTGTCAGGCTCCTCACCACAGCGGACGCACCTGGGACTTGGGCTGGGCGGGCCGGTTCTTTCTCCCCATGAGAGTTGCAGCCTCAGCACCAGCTTTGCAGGAGGTGGCTGAACTTGAGGGAGTACCCAGAAGGGGGTCCTCAGAGATGGGCATCTAAGATACTTCAGAGTTGTTGACGCCATGGGGCAACTTTCATGGGGAGGTGAACCAATAACATAGCAGGCATGGCCTTGCTCACTGAGCATTCACTACATGCCAGTGTTGCCCGTGGCTTTATATGTACTCTCTCCAGCCACCCATGAAGTGCTGTTCATAGCACTCCGTCCTAGATGAAGAAGCTGAGGTTCAGAGTGATTGTGTGGCTTGCTAAAAGTCCACAAAATATGGAAGGTAGTGAATTCTTCTGACAGAAGAACCTGTGTGCTCAACCACTGGATTCTACCACTTCCAGGAGCAAGAAAAACAAGAGGCCGGTAGCGGGGAAAATGGTTTGGGGAACGGAGATGAAGCCATTTATTTACATCTGTTGCCAGACCCTGGGTAAAAGCTGCCAGTGAGTTTTGAAGGCAGTGTAAGTGCTGACCCGGGGTGGATGCCCTCTGCTGCAGAAGGCGCTGCCCCAAGGAAGCTCCCAGCCCTGAGGACTTGGCAGCCATTGGCTGATTTGAAAGAATACACAGGGTGTGCCAGCTGGTGTCGCTTCCTCTTCAACATGTACTGATGCTGCAGCTGAGCTGCTGCCCAGCCCCTGGGGAGAAGACACCAGCAGCATGCCCAGCCAGGGCAGGGTGGAGAGCTGCAGCTGCAGGTTGGCATAAGAGGAGAGCTCAGGGCTACAAGGGGATGGTGGTGGGGGGCCAAGGCCTGGAGAGCTGGGCTGCAGCCAGTGTATGTCTGCGAGGCCTTGCTGGGCAGCCTGCCAGTCAGCACCCGAGAATGGGGAGGAGCTTGAGTGCTACCCCAGGAGGGGGCGGGTGGGACCTTTGGGTTCAAGCTCCACTGGGCTTGGCAGGAGGCCCCTCCCCCACAGCCAGCAAACAAAGCAACAACTCCCAGAGTAGAACTGTGGGAGCTCCAGAGCCAGGTTCCCCTGGGTGGGAATTAGAGCAGGCAGACCTGGCCAGGAGCCGCCTGGCAGGGACCATCCATGCCCAAGGACATGGCCTGCATGCAGCTGGGCAGAGGCTGTACCCATGGATGATTAATGGGTATTGATCACTTGGGAGGCCAGATGTAGCCTGGACACTGCTGGCACTTGCCCTGCATCTGTTCCCTTTGTACTGGGCAGGGTAGAGAAGCAGCAGGGATGTGTGTTCATTTGCTTTTTACTTTTAGCCATGCTTCCCTTTATTTTCTTTCCCTTGTAGCTTTTTTTTTTTTTTTTTTTTTGAGATGGAATCTTGCTCTTGTCACCCAGGCTGGAGTGCAGTGGCACGATCTTGGCTCACTGCAGCCTCCGCCTCCTGGGTTCAAGCAATTCTCCTGCCTCAGCCTCCCGAGTAGCAGGGATTACAGCCTCACGCCACCATGCCTGGCTAATTTTTGTACTTTTAGTAGAGATGGGGTTTTGCCATATTGGCCAGGCTGGTCTCAAACTCCTGACCTTGTGATCCTCCCGCCTTGGCCTCCCAAAGTGCTGGGGTTACAGGCATGAGCCACTGCGCCTGGCCTCGTTTCGGCCTCTTTATAATGGATTCCTATACACATTCTTGTGCTTCTGTCCTTGTGTATGTATGTGTGTGTGTATGAGAGAGAGAAAAATGAGGAAGGTCCATGGGGAGGAGGTGCCAGAGCGTGTGAGTGTGGATGGAGAAGAGGCCAGCTTTGATGATGACTTCATTTTGCTGGCCAAGGCACGGAGGAAGCAGTGCTTTTCTCTTCGTCTCTTATTTTGGTACTCCCTTTCCAAGCTGCCTCCTGAGCTCTTTATAAACACTGGCATTCTGGCTGAGAAAGACTCGCCAACATCCAAGAGTGGCAAAGGGGAACAGGAGACACATCGTTGGCTTGGGAACCGCTCCCGCTCGCAGGAAGTCTGCTCACAGGAGATTTTTCTCTGTCAGTGTCCTCGTGTGGTTTCTAGTCTGGGGAGAACACATCAGCACACTAACGGAAGAAAGGGGAGCCCGCAAAGACCAAAGCTGCTGTGCTGGGGGCGTGGATTCGAGGGCTCTTCTCCAGGCTGACAGCTGGGACCCTCATTTTGTCAGCCCTGTGGAGTTCCTACTAGAGTGCCATGCAAGGCAGTGGGGATTTGGAAGATGGAAGTCCTGTCACTGTCCTCAAAGGACTTGCTGCCCAGTCGACATAAGACATATTGGAAGCATTTGAGCAGGATATGATTATCCGCTTAGTGAGGCCGCATCAGCCCCTGTCTCCTCTGCTCTGAGATGAGCACAGCAGTCACACAACTCATGTGTTGCCAAGACACCAGGGCAAAGCAGCCCCACTGCCATTTTAGGATCTGCTTGATGTGGAGATTCAGGGACTCAACAAATAGTGATTGAGCATGTGGCCAACATCAGGTACTGTTCTAGGTGAGTGCAGTAGGCAGAAGGTAGAAGAAGGAAATGTAGCTAGTACCTTGACTTTGACAAGATTTCTTGCAATCTTTTTCATAATATTCTTTTTTTTTTTTTGGGTTGGTCGGGGGGACGGAGTTTCACTCTTGTGCCCAGGCTGGAGCACAGTGGCGCCATCTTGGCTCACTACAACCTCTGTCTCCCGGGTTCAAGCGATTCTCCTGCCTCAGCCTCCTGAGTAGCTGGGATTATAGGTGTGCACCACCACGCCCGGCTAATTTTCATATTTTTAGTAGAGACAGCGTTTCATCATGTTGGCCAGGCTGGTTTCGAACTCCTGACCTCAGGTGATGCGCCCACCTCAGCCTCCTAAAGTGCTCAGATTACGGGCAATGAGCCACTGCTTTCAGCCCATAATAGTCTTATGGATAATATGGAGAAATGTGGGCTGAACAGTGCAGTTAGGAGGACACATAGCTAGTTGTTCAGCCTATAAAAGATATTGATCAGGCCAGGCGTGGTGGCTCACACCTGTAATCCCAGTACTTTGGGAGGCCAAGGCAGGTGGCTCACCTGAGGTCAAAAGTTCGAGACCAGCCGTGACCAACATGGTGAAACCTCGTCTCTACTAAAAATACAAAATTAGCCGGGCGTGGTGGCGCATGTTTGTAATCCCAGCTACTCGGGAGGCTGAGGCAGGAGAATCGCTTGAACCCACGAGGCAGAGGTTGCAGTGAGCTGATATCATGCCATTGCACTCCAGCCTGGGCAACAAGAGTGAAACACCATCTCAAAAAAAAAACAAAAAACATATTGATCTGTTCTAACCTTGATGGAGGTCTCTAGTGGCGTGCCATTGGGCTCCGTTTGTGACTCTGTCTCACCCATTTATTTATTTACTTACTTATTTTCAGGCTCCCAAAGTGCTGGGATTATAGGTGTGAGCCACCGTGCCTGGCTGTCACCCATTTTTGTTTAATCACTCAAAATTTTAAATGGAAAGATTAGTACAAAAACACCCAATAACTCTTCACCTATATTGACCAGTTTTTGCCAGTCACATTCATGTTCTTTCTCTCTAGTACATGCACATACATATATATGCACATTTGTTTTTGCTGAATCATTTGAAAGTAAGTTGTAGACATCGTGACATTTCAACTGTAAAGCTTCAGCAGGTGTCTCTGAAAGACCAGGACTTAATCACATCTGAGAAATGCCATTATCATAGCTAAAAAAATGAAGAATGCCATAATATCATCTAATACACAGTCCATATTAAAATTTCCCCAATTGCTCCATGGCTTTTTTTTTTTTTCCAACATTCAATCTTCAATCAAGGTTCACACGTTGCTATTGATTTTGTTTGTTTTTTTTTAGACAGGGTCTCATTCTGTCTCTTAGGCTGGAGTGCAACAGCATGGCTCCCTGCAGCTTTGACCTCCTGGGCTTAGGTGATCCTCCCACCTCAGCCTTTCAAGTAGCTGGGACTACAGGTGCGCACCACCATGCCTGAGTAATTTTGTATTTTTTGTAGAGACCAGTTTCACCCTGTTGCCCAGGATGGTCTTGAACTTCTGGGCTCAAGTGATCCACCTGCCTTGGCCTCCCGAAGTGCTGGGATTACAGGTGTCAGCCACCTCGCCTCGCTGCATTTGATTATTATGTCTTTTTAGTCCCTTAACCTAAAACAGCCCCACCCCTGTCTGTTTTGCCTCTCACTAGATTGCCCTTTCTGAAGAGTCCAGGCTAGTTGTCTTGTAGAATACTACTCATGCTGGATGGGTCTGATTGTGTTTTCATTGTTAGATCTGGGTTACAACACACCTTTGAGAAGAATGCTGCAAACATTGATGATGTTTTGTACTTGTTGTTTTTTCTTTTTTTGAGACAGGGTCTCACTTTGTCACCCAGGCTGGAGAGCAGTGGCGTGATCTCAGCTCACTGCACCCTTGACCTCCTAGGTTCAAGCAGTCCTCCTGCCTCACCCCCCGAAGTAGCTGGGACTACAGGCATGCGCCACCATACCTGGCTAATTTTTGTAATTTTTGTAGAGACGGAGTTTTGCCGTGTTGCCCAGGTTGGTCCCGAACCCCTGAGCTCAGGCAGTCTGCCTGCCTCGGCATCCCAAAATGCTAGGATTCCAGGCGTGAGCTGCTGGGCCCAGCCTGTTTTGTACTTCTCTTTTTTTTTTTTTCGAGACGGAGTCTCGCTCTGTCACCAGGCTGGAGTGCAGTGGCGCGATCTCGGCTCACTGCGAGCTCTGCCTCCTGGGTTCACGACATTCTCCTGCCTCAGCCTCCCAAGTAGCTGGGACTACAGGCGCCCGCCACCATGCCTGGCTAATTTTTTTTTTTTTTTGTATTTTTAGTAGAGACGGGGTTTCACCGTGTTAGCCAGGATGGTCTCGATCTCCTGACCTCGTGATCCGCCCGCCTCGGCCTCCCAAAGTGCTGGGATTCCAGGCGTGAGCTGCTGGGCTTAGCCTGTTTTGTACTTCTTATTGCATCATATCAGGAGGAAAATTACGTCAAATAGTCCCATTACTATGATGCTACTTTTGTCTAATTGGTTAAGATTGAGGCCCCGAGATCTCTCCCTTAGAGATAAATGTTCCCTTTGGTAATTAGTAAGTCATCTGTGGGACAGACCTTGTTAACATATAGTTTCGTAACAATCTTCCACCCAATGGTTTCCCATCCACTGATGATTCTTACTTGAATCTAGATTTTCTAATTCTATCACCATTTCTTCTACTTTTTTTTTGAGACAGAGTCTCGCTGTCGGTCAGGCTGGAGTGCAGTGGCGTGATCTCGGATCACTGCAACCTCCGCCTCTTGAGTTCAAGAGATTCTCCTGCCTCAGCCTCCCGAGTAGCTGGGACTACAGGTGCGTGCCACCACGCCCAGCTAATTTTTTTGTATTTTTAATAGAGACGGGGTTTCACCATGTTAGCCAGGATGGTCTCGATCTCCTGACCTCGTGATCCGCCCGCCTCAGCCTCCCAAAGTGCTGGGATTACAGGCGTGAGCCACTGCACCCGGCCTCTTCTACATTATTAACCAGCATTTTTTGGTAAAGAAAAGCTTCCTTTTCACCCCTTATTTTTTCTCTCTCTCTGGGTTTCACTGTGGACTAATGGATTGTTTTTAAATTTAATGTATTAATCCATTACTTCATTATGTTTTAATGCTCAGATTGGTCATCAAGCTGGTTCCGATGTCCTTTGGACATGGCCTCATTAGTTTCTGATCATTGCTTTCTGGCCCAACAAAATGTCTCATGTTTATGTCGTACTTTCCCTTACATTCACCCAAAGAATCTTGGTTCTCTTATTAGAGAGTAGGATTAGGAAACCAAGATTGGCCAGGTACAGTGGTTCATGCCTGTAATCCCAGCACTTTGGGAGGCCGAGGTGGGCAGATCGCTTGAGTCCAGGAGTTTGAGACCAGCCTGGGCAACGTGGTGAAACCCCTTTCTCTACAAAAAAATTACAAAAATTATCCGAGTGTGGTGGTGCATGCCTGTAGTCCCAGCTACTCAGGAGGCTCAGGTGGAAGGATTGCTTGAGCCTGAGAGGTGGAGGTTGTAGTGAGCTGAGATCTTGCCACTGTACTCCAGCCTGGGTGACAGAGTGAGACCCTCTCTCAATAAAAAAGAAAAAAGTAAACGAAGATTTAGGTGCTAGATCTGCTCACCCAATTTTTGTTTTTTTGGGACGGAGTCTCGCTCTGTCCCCCAGGCTGGAGTGCAGTGGCGCGATCTCGGCTCACTGCAAGCTCCGCCTCCCGGGTTCACGCCATTCTCCTGCCTCAGCCTCCCGAGTAGCTGGGACTACAGGCGCCCGCCACCACGCCCGGCTAATTTTTTGTATTTTTAGTAGAGATGGGGTTTTACTGTGTTAGCCAGGATGGTCTCGAGCTCCTGACCTCATGATCCGCGCACCTCGGCCTCCCAAAGTGCTGGGATTACAGGCGTGAGCCACCATGCCCGGCCCTGCTCACCCAATATTTTTATCAATAGCTTGAATAAAGGCATAAGGAATGGTTATCATGTTTACAGATGACCCCATACTGGAAGGGGAAGCCAAATGTATGATAATAGAATCAGTTTTCAACATGACTTCAGTGGGATGACATCTGAGCCAGAACCACTAGATTTATTTATTTTATTATTAATTAATTAATTAATTTTTTTTTTTTTTGAGATGGAGTCTCGCTCTGTGGCCCAGGCTGGAGTGCAGTGGCGTGATCTCGGCTCACTGCAAGCTCCACCTCCCGGGTTCGCGCCATTCTCCTGCCTCAGCCTCCTGAGTAGCTGGGACTACAGGCACCCACCACTGTGCCCGGCTAATTTTTTTTTGTATTTTTATTAGAGACGGGGTTTCACCATGGTCTCGATCTCCTGACCTCGTGATCCGCCTGCCTCGGCCTCCTAAAGTGCTGGGATTACAGGCGTGAGCCACCGCGCCTGGCTGGTAAAACTCTTTATTGGACCAAAGTTGATATAAAAAAAATAGTTCTGGTTGTCAGCTGACATGAGTCAGCAGTATTCTGTGACTCAAGTTGCATTCATTCATTCATTCATCCAGTACTTACTGAAGTCCTGCTTACCATGTGCCAAGCACTATTCTAGAGGCTTGAGATACATTACTTAACAAACCAAATAAGCAAAAATCTCTGCCCTCTCAGTCAGCATTCTGGGGGAGATGGGATGTCAGACAATAAAGAAAAACCATAACTAATATATCGTATGTTATTCAGTGATGAGTGCTCTGAAAAAATATCTCAAGGTATTTTTAAGGAGATAAGGGGCATATTAGGAGGAAGTTCAGATTCTTCAAGGTGATAAATGAGCAAAAGGAAGCAAGGGACTCAGTCCTGTGGTTATCTAGGGGGAGAGTGTGCCAGGTGAGGGAGCAGCCAGGTCAAAGGCCCTGCTGGTTCGGGCTACTATATATGTACCTGGTGTGGATGAGTGAGGGGAAAAGTAGTAGAGGATGCAGTGGTACTGGTGGTGAGGATGACATGGAGGGCTTTGCAGACCACTCCAAGTAAGGTCATTGTGAATGAGATGGGGGAACCCTTGGAGGGTTTTGAGCAGAGGAAAGCCCTGATCTGGCTTGTGTTGTGTGTTGTTTTGTTTAAGATGGAGTCTTGCTCTGTAGCCCAGGCTGGAGTGCAGTAGCACAATCTCAGCTCACTGCAACCTCCGCCTCCCAGGCCCCGGTTCAAGCAATTCTCCTGCCTCAGCCTCCCGAGTAGCTGGGATTACAGGCACACACCACCATGCCCAGCTAATTTTTGTGTTCTTAGTAGAGATGGGGATTCACCATGTTGGCCAGGCTGGTCTTGAACTCCTGACCTCAAGTGATCTGCCCGCCTCGGCCCACCAAAGTGCTGGGATTACAGGCGTGAGCCACCACCCCTGTCCTGGCTTGTGTTTTAAAGACTCACTCCAGCTGCTGTGTTGAGAATAGATTGTAGGGGAACCAAGGAGGAAACGGGGAGAACAGTTAGGAGGCCCTTGCAGTAACCAGGAGAAAGAGGGTGGTGCCTGGGCCCTAGGGAGCTGGGAAGTGGTCAGATTATAGATTTTCTAATGGACTGGATGTGAGGAGTGAGATAATGAGAGGAGCTGAGGGTTTTGGCCTGAGCAATTTAAAGATGGAATTGCCATTAAATGAAATGGGGAAGGCTGTAGGTGGAGCACATTTTTGAGAAGGGGGAGAGATCAGGAGCTTAGTTTGGGACATGTTGGGCTCGAGATGGTTTTCAGACAGCCAAGTAGAAATATTGAGGCCGGGTCAGGTGTGGTGGCTCACGCCTGAAATCCCAGCACTTTGGGAGGCCAAGGCAGGTGGATCACGAGGTCAGGAGTTCAAGACCAGCCTGGCCAACATTGTGAAACCCTGTCTCTATTAAAAATACAAAAAATTAGCGGGGTGTGGTGGCATAAACCTGTAATCTCAGCTACTCGGGAGGCTGAGGCAGGAGAATCACTTGAACCCAGAAGGCAGAGGTTGCAGTGAGTGGAGATTGCACCATTGCACTCCAGCCTGGGCAAAAGAGCAAGACTCTGTCTCAAAAAAAAAAAAGTTGAGGCCTTTTGGAGTTAAGGGCTGAGCAGGGCTGGACTAGGCGGCAGATAGGGGTTTGGGTATCACTGGCTGTAGGTGGATTGAACCCATTTAGAGTAAGCATCCAAACCTGGGCAATAGTAGCACTGTGGGTGCTTGGTGCTGTCCATATCCCATGTGGAATTCTGTGTCCAGTTCTGGGAGCCCCTTTAAAAGGGATGCTGCTAGCCTGCACCATGTCCACAGAAGGTGATGGAGGTACAGAAATCATGCAGCATGAGGAAACTTAGCTGTAAGAAAGGAGACCTGGGACCATGTGGGTGCTGTGCCCACCCTCTTGACAGCATCCCTGTTGTGGGAGCAGATGTGGCAGACCCTGAAAGTCGGGAGGAGAGGAAAAGAGGTGCTCTGAGGAGGCTGATTTTGGCTGGGGGTGAAGAGGAGCTTTCCTGCAATTGCAGCAAATTTATGGAGCGATGGTCTCTACTGCCATGGAAATAACTAGCAGAGGCTTTCACTCTTTTGGACTCTTAACTACAGGAGGAACTACTACATTTTTCTGTAATCCTGTGCACACTTAGGAAAAGTTGAAGTAGCTTTCCCAAAATTACTTATCCTTTGAGATTATTGCTTAGATAGTTTCTATGTTTTGTTTGTTTCTTAATGCTGTTGGGATCCACTAAATTGATTTCAGAATCTGCTAATGGTCCAGGCTGCAGTTGGAAACCCCTGGTCTCAGCAGAGCTGAACTCCACCCGTGGAGATGTTAGGAGCCAGGAGGATTAGGGGTGGGTGCCTCTGGGCTTCCACTCCAGTCTTAGGGGTTCCCTTCCCCTGCCGGGTCACGTGCAGGTTGTGAAGGTTTTACCTCCTCAGCAGTACATTAAATCCTATTATCCCACTTAAGCTAATCTTGCCCTTCCCCCACCCGAGGGCTTCGCGTGGACAGAATATTAAGCGGACAAGCCCGCAGGGTGCCTAGACTAAGTGCTGAGCTTGTAGTGAATGCCCAGCCATGACTTGCAGTGGATTGACCTGTGCAAAAATTGGACTCTCAAGCTGCTAGCCCCAGTGTCAGCACGAGCTCGGCCGAGTTCATTTGGTCGCAGGAACAAGGGGGTCGCCAGGAGCAAGAGCGGAGGGGGCGCCTAAAGGGAGGAGACCAAGGCCTAATCACCATCCGCCCCCTAACTCCCTAGGCGCATAGCGGGGACGCAGCGTGTCCCCAAACCAACGCCACTAGCAGAGGGTCCCAGAGGAGCCGGAAGGGGCCAGGGCCTGGGCGGCGGTGGGAGGGTCTGAGCAGTGGGGGCGGGGAGCTGGGGGTCGGCTTTCGTCCGCGTCCCAGCGCTCCGGCGGCCGCCGGGGCTACTGATCCCGGGCTTGGCCCCTGCGGCAGCGCCCCGAGCTGCCGCCCCTCGCGCTGCCAGCGCCCGGGAAGGAGGAAGGGGGAAGGGGGCGGGCCGGCCGGGCTCACGGCCGACTTCCTCCTTCAGCCCCGCCCTCCGCCGCTTGCGGGTGAGCTCTGCCCAAGCCGAGGCTGCGGGGCCGGCGCCGGCGGGAGGACTGCGGTGCCCCGCGGAGGGGCTGAGTTTGCCAGGGCCCACTTGACCCTGTTTCCCACCTCCCGCCCCCCAGGTCCGGAGGCGGGGGCCCCCGGGGCGACTCGGGGGCGGACCGCGGGGCGGAGCTGCCGCCCGTGAGTCCGGCCGAGCCACCTGAGCCCGAGCCGCGGGACACCGTCGCTCCTGCTCTCCGAATGCTGCGCACCGCGATGGGCCTGAGGAGCTGGCTCGCCGCCCCATGGGGCGCGCTGCCGCCTCGGCCACCGCTGCTGCTGCTCCTGCTGCTGCTGCTCCTGCTGCAGCCGCCGCCTCCGACCTGGGCGCTCAGCCCCCGGATCAGCCTGCCTCTGGGTGAGTGCCGGGGACCCGGGGACGCGGGCCGGGGGAAGGAAGGCTGCCGGGGACGTGCCTCGTGCGGAGGTGGCCGTGACAAAGGACCAAGGAGGGGACCTGTCGGAGGCACGGGATCCATTAGGACCCCTTCTTTTTTCAAGGCGCTGCGCGGAGGGAGGGAGAGGAGAGGGGAGCTGTGGGGCCGCTGGCCCCTTTCTTCAGTTTTCTTTCTGCGTAGGGATGGGGTCTAGCCCGCTCTGTCGTCCCCCCTAGTTCCCTTAGGAGGATGCACTTTCGGCGGGGTCCGCCTGCCCATCTACTTGTCTTTGATGCTGACCAGAGCCGACCGCGGTGCCGCCCCCGAGGGCGGCTCGGGGTAGAGGGAGGCCACTGCTTGCAGTCCTATAAACACTGGGGTTCTGGTATTCCCAGCAAGTCGCAGCAGGGCCGGGAGCTGTGGTGGGCGGGCAGGCGCCCGATCCTCCCTCTCCGCCCCTCCATCCCTGGCTTGCCAGTGCAGCCCCAAGCCCCAGCATGGAGAGACCTCCAGGCCCTGGGAGCGACCAGACTGCGGATGGGGGCAGCTCTGGGCGCTGACATTCCCAAGTCCTGGGAGCGAACAGACTGCGGATGGGGGCAGCTCTGGGCGCTGACATTCCCAAGTCCTGGGCGCGACCCCTCCTCAGAGTGACCTGGGAGTAGCATCCTGGTTGGCTGGGTTCCTTTCCTGGTCCTCACATCTGCTTCTGTGGCCACCTCCTGTTTCAGCCCTCCGCCCTTCCCTCTCCTTTTCCCTTCCATCCGGTTGCTTCTCCAGCTCTTCTTGGGGCACTTGGGCTTTAGATTCAGAGGGTCCTGGATCCCAAGCCCATTTCTTCCACTGGGCAAGTAAGTGCCTTCTGCTCCCAGTGCCCCACCTTTCTCATCTGCAAAATAGGCAGTCGTAGGTGCCTTGCAAGGTGTGTTACTCGGGTATGAAGTTTATAAGTGCCCAACAGATGTATCCGCAAGCCCTTTAACTTGTTGGTTGTCATATTGTATGACTTGGAATAAAGCATGTATGAATTAGAGGTTACAGACTGAAACTGTCCCAGACTTCCATCTCCTCACAGCATCCCCACCTCTAAAAGCATCCTGTTTACAAAGGGAAATAGTAGAATCAGCACTTAAATTAAGGCAGGGCCCTAGCGGCTTCAAGTAACCCTACCTGAACCCCTGTCTGAAATACTGCAGATGACCTGGGTTCAAATGCTACCTCAGCCACTTAGTAACCATGTGACCTTGAGCAGGCTACTTAAAGTTTCTGGGTCTTGATTTCTTCATCTGTAAAACAGGTATAATAACAGAACCTACCTCAAGGTAGTGAGGATTAAATCAGCTCGTGTTTGAAAAGTCGTTAGGACAGGGCCTGGTACGGGAACCGCTGAATGAGTGTTACTCAGCTCAGAGTTTACTTCTGTACATCTTGCCCAGATCTGGGGTGATTCTGCCTGGGGTTAGGACAGGGTTGGGGTGTTAGTTTGACTGTAGCCCCTTGGGTGCTTCAGCTTGTGAAGTCAGGATGAACAGGTGTAACCAGCCCCAGGCCTGCTGTCTTGCTACTTCTGTTGTGGCCACAACTCCCTTTGCCCTCAGACCCTCTCATTTTTGGGAGAAGGCAGGGTGAGATGGGGGCAGATGCTCCAATGGACTCCACTTATGGCCTTGGGAAAGCTGGGCCAGCTCATGGGACCATGTCAAAAGACGGTAGGTTTCATGTCCAACTCTGGAACTGGATGGGACAATCACAGGGTAGCTAGAAGGCAAAACTGGAGAGCAGCGAGGGGAATCGAGGGGACCTGCTTCCCGAGGAGCAGCTAGAATACTTGGTTATTATTACCAATGCAGCTGCAGGACCTGGTCCACTTCTACAAGCCCGTGACTGTTCCCAGGCTTCTGTCACGCACCAGCATTCACCTGTCAGGGCTGCCGTAGGTGGGCTTGCATTTTGTGCATTGTACCAAGGTGCCCAGCTGAGGGTTGAGAGGACCTGAAATGCAGTCCACACTCAGCTCTCCAACCTAAGAGTCCTGGAGCAAAAGACCCCTTCTGCTATGTTCTTGGGGCTAGGTCTGCCCGGAGTGGCCCATTTTTCCAGTCCCACCAAAGCCCTGGAATAGTGTAGTGGCACCTAGCTACCTGAACTTGTGAGCACGTATCTATAGTCGACTGAGTTGCCACTATACCCTGGAGTGCCCCCTCTCTGGGCTTCCTCCTGGCCCTCATACCCACCTCCTACTCTTACCTACGTGCAGGTCCTAGGGCTGGCTGGGAGTCCGAGAGGGGAATGCCCTGGTAACTGAACAGGCTCACCCTTGAGTGTGGCCTAAGGCGGTTTCCTGCCTCATCCCAGGGGGCTCATTAGATGTTCCTGGCAGTGTGCCCATCCTGGGCAGGCTCGTGGTGACCATGGGACGCCGGGCCCAGGGCCCTAGTGCCCTCCCTTGCATGCATCTTAGGAGAAAGAGTCATGGAACTGGATATTACACACCCCTCTTTCCTCCTGCCACTCACTCCTCTACTGAATTCCCACCCATGCCCCGTAAGGACCCAGATGCCTAGGGACAGTGGGGCTATGTCTGTGGTTTAAAACAAAATCCCTTGAAGTGGAGCGTCCAGCTTGCCCTGCATCTGGGGTCCTTCATAGGGAACCCTAATTATTGTTGATGAACAGCACATTCCTGGGGTG
The DNA here is from genome assembly GCF_000001405.40 of Homo sapiens. NCBI lineage: Eukaryota > Metazoa > Chordata > Mammalia > Primates > Hominidae > Homo > Homo sapiens. Next base: position 90,204,446 of record NC_000015.10, read on the forward strand.
CTTAAGATGCAGGGAGCCGATTTGTGGCCTCGCCCAGTGGCCAGTAGGGAGAGGAGGATGAGGGGACAGCCACTGGGGGCTCCACAGTCAGCTGGAAATCTCTGAAAGGAACACTTCAAAGAAGTGTGTGGAATTTGGGTTCTCTTGCGTTGGAACTACCATGCAGAGCTCCAGGACCAAAGCCTCGGTCAGGAGCAGGAGTGGTGCTGAGTAGAAACAATGGCGCCCAGTGCTTCCCAGCCTGGCCACGTGGGGAGAAACAAAACACGCCTCCTCTCATGGCCCTCCAAAGTCTTTTTGGGCCACCTTATTTGGACACTTAATGGGAGTTATTATTATTGTTATTTTGAGATGGAGTTTCGCTCTGTCTCCCAGGCTGGAGTACAGTGATGCCATCTCCGCTCACTGCAGCCTCCACCTCCCAAGTTCAAGTGATTCTCCTGCCTCAGCCTCTCGAGCAGCTGAGACTACAGGTGCCCGCCACCATGCTTAGCTAATTTTTGTATTTTTGTAGAGATGGGATTTCACCATGTTGTCCAGGCTGGTCTCGAACTTCTGACCTTAGGTGATCTGCCCATCTTGGCCTCCCAAAGTGCTGGGATTACAGGCATGAGCCACCACATCCGGCCTTAAAGGGAGTTATTAATTCCCTCCTGCCCCAGAAGTGCCGGGCGGGAAAGCTCTGGACGCAGTATTTCTGAAGCAGATTGGACAGAAATCTGCAGGCCTGCAAACTGCAGTCAACAAAACGCCATTGAGCAGAGAGAATGGAGCATTTGGCACAAATCAGCTGCTTGCCCTCTGGCCCTGGAGGAGGCAGCCAGGGTCAAGGCTGCCCTGGGAAGCCCTGATGCTGGTCGCTTGTTGAGCCCTCAGCCCGGTTACTGGCTTCCCTCCTTGACATGGTCTCAACTGGACATGAGCCTTTGTCCCCAGCTCTGTCCTATGGGCCAGCATCTCTTTGGCTCTGCAGAGGTGAGTGGAAGGCGCTCTAACTGCGGATGCTCAGAGCCTGGCTTTGTAAAGTAGCTTGCCACCCTTACTAACTGCACAACCTTGGGCAAGCTCCTGGCCTTCTCCAGGCCCATTTTCACATTAGCAAGAGAGGAATAATGGCCATCTTCACAGTGTTCTGAGAGGATTACATGAAATAATGTATGTAAAGTGTTTGGCATGGTGCCTGGCACATGCTGCATCCGTAGTAAAAAGGTAGCTTCTGCTCTGGTGTGCTAGAAACCCCCTGCCAGCCTTGCTTGGTGAGGTTATTTGCATCCATTTTTGTGCACACTGGTGGTATGCAGGCCCTCTGCTAGGTGCCAAGCCTTGTCAGGCTTAGTGCCTGCCCTGGTAGAAAAGACAAAGCAAGGCCCCCAGGAGCTGATTGGAGGTCATTACCAGGGGTCCTGCTTAATTATAGCCCAGTTATTAAGTGCTCCTGATTCAGCCTTTTCAAAGTCCTCCTTTGCCTGAAGAACCTCCTCTGCATGGGGCTGGACCATGCCTCTCCCTGCCTGCCCTTCACTGGTTCTGCTCTGCCTTCAGCACAACCCACATCCAGCTGGTGTTGAAATACCTCTGTGCCAACCCAGGAGAGCGCTAAACTTGCACAACTTTTGGGGCATATCTGGATATACCAGCATGTTCATCCTCTAGGCAAGAGACAGAGGGTGGCACGGGGCCTGGAGAAAAGGCTAGACTCGGGTCATGTCATCAATCACTCCTTCCTTTATCTTCTTAGAGCCTGTTGCCTCTCACTCCACCCCCATGGGTGCTCAGGCTGGCGCAGGACTCAGGGGGCCTCTGATGTGGCCCTCCCTGGGGATCGGGGCAACAGGAACAACACAACGCGAGACTCCTGTGGTCGAGGCCTGCCTTCCCTCAGATTAGCTTTTTGGGAAGTCTGCTCCCTTGGACTGCATTCTCCATGCTTTTCCCCAGCTGGTTTCCCTGCCCCTCCTCTTCACATTCTGACCTCCCTGTGCTGGATGTGGGACAGCTATCCTGTCTGTAAGATAAGATAATTAAAAGCCTGGTGGCTCTTTCCCTGCTGCCACCAAGTCATGCAGAGACGGAGGCTCAGGCTCAGTTGCGTTCAAGATTCGGCTTCACCCGTAACCCACTGCCATGGCCGAGGAAGGCATTGCTGCTGGAGGGGTAATGGACATTAATGCTGCTTTACAAGAGCTGTTGAAGACAGCCCTCATCCACGATGGCCTAGCACATGGAATTCGCAAAGCTACCAAAGCCTTAGACAAGCGCCAAGCCCATCTTTGTGTGCTTGCATCCAACGGTGATGAGACTGTGTATGTCAAGTTGGTGGAAGCCCTTTGTGCTGAGCACCAAATCAACCTAATTAAGGTTGATGACAAAAGAAACTGGGGGAATGGGTAGGTCTCTGTCAAATTGACAGAGAGGGGAAACCCCGTAAAGTGGTTGGTTGCAGTTGTATAGTAGTTAAGGACTATGGCAAGGAGTCTCAGGCCAAGCATGTCATCAGAGAGAACTTCTAATGCAAGAAATGAAGAAAATATCTTTGGCTCACAAAAAAAACAAAAAAAGCCTGGTGCCCACAGCGGCTCTATACTTATTAGCTCACCATCGACCCTCTTCTGGGCACTGAATACTGGAACACTAAGGGGTGGCTCCTGCCCTGTGGCAGAGATGGTCACAGAAGAGTAGAGTGGCTACAGAGTGATACACAGAGGTGGAGTGTTCTGTCCAGCTGCTAGAGTTCTGCCTCCCAGGCCTGTGATCTGACTTGTTGTGCATGGAAGCTCTATTCTGCACTCCTGGATCCATCTGGAAGCCCATCCTGTAGTCTTAACAGGCTTCCGAGAGGTGGGGGGCCTGTGGCGAGGGGGTTTCAGTGGGGATGGTAGGTAGGAGACAGAAGCCATCATTTTACCATACTCCTAAAGAGGAGCCAAATTAGCCAACTCGTGTCCTCTTTTTTGGCATCTTTTGGCCCATCCTCTAGGAAGGGGGCCAACTGGAAGAGCAAATAAAAGCGGCCATTGCGGTGCACTCCCTGTGTGCCAGGCACTGCTGTTGGATGTGGAAGTGCATTGCTTTATCTCATGCAGATGAGGAAACCAAAGCTCAGTGAAGCTAACTCATTATCAAGGTCATGCAGCTATAGAAGAGTTTGGGACCAAGCCTTGGGCCACAGTTCTCGATTCAGCAACCACATTCTTTCCATTAGAACAGCTGCCTCCTGCTTCACCTGTGAATCGTACAAAAGCAGCAAGATGACCCGGCTCAGCCCTTGAATAATTGCAGGTTATATTTTTCCATCTGTTAAAGAAATCTGTTGAGGTCAGTCTCTGGACGGGGCAGGGGATCCAGCCGAGGCCCCTGGTTGCATGGCCATAGTTGGGAAGAGGGCAGAGCTGGCAGACATGTGGCACACAGGAGACTGAGGCACACATCTCAGACAGAAGTTTGCAAACTGAAGGGTAGTGGGCCACAGCCAGCCTGGAGATACATTTTGTTTGACTTCCAAGTTCTTTAGAAAAATTTTAATTAGGCCAGGTGCGGTGGCTCACGCCTATAATCCCAGCACTTTGGGAGGCCGAGGCGGGTGGACCACTTGAGGTCAGGAGTTTCGAGACCAGCCTGGCCAACGTGGTGAAACCCCATCTCTACTAAAAATAGAAAAATTAACTGGGCATGGTGGCAGGCACCTGTAATCCCAGCTACTCAGGAGGCTAAGGGAGGAGAATCACTTGAACCTGGGAGACAGGGGTTGCAGTGAGCCGAGATCATGCCATTGCACTCCAGCCTGGAAGACAAGAGCAAAACTCCATCTCAAAAAAAAAAAAAGAAAGAAAAATTTTAATTAGTTGCTGATATTTAAAACTTAGGAAATTTTACATAAAAATCTAGGTTTCCAGCTTTTCTGAAGGTCTGGTAAGGTTGGACCCCCATTCCGTGTAGCAGCACGTGTCTGGGGCCTAAGTCTTGCGTGTGAAAAAGGGCTAGAGTAAAAGTAGAAGGCAAGAAGCAAGGGGAGGAGTAGGGAGCATGGGGAGAACCCATCTTGATTATTGATGGTCACTGACCCCTAATCTTTGCAGAGCTTTGCACTGCCACGTACTGTGTTTATTTAGTCTTCTCAGCAATCCTGCAAGGCAGCCCTCTCAGGACTGAGAATTTGTTCGGGGTTGCACAGTGGGTCAGTGATCAAGTGAGGATTCACACACATGTCTTGTGCCCCTTCCAGTCCGTGAAGCTTGTTTCTTGTCTCCCTACCATACTTTCAGCTGTCATACTTCCACCTGTCATACTTAATTCTTTTTTTCTTTTTCTTTTTTTTTTTTGAGATGGGGTCTCACTCTGTCACCCAGGCTGCAGTGGTGAGATCTTGGCTCACTGCAACCTCCACCTCCCAGGCTTAAGCGATCTTCCCACCTCAGCCTCCTGAGTAGCTGGGACCTCAGGCATATGCCACCATGCCCAGCTAATTTTTGCATTCTTGGTAGAGACAGGGTTTCATCATGTTGCCCAGGCTGGTCTCGAGCTCCTGTCAGCTGTTATACTTCTATGTGTTCAGTGCTTTTGGGAGGGGTCAGAGTGGTAGCAGTGCTTCTCAGACACACTTTTGTGAGTGTGATGCTTCAGGACCTCCACGTTGCCCCATTTTTATCTGGGGCCCCTCTCTGGGCTGGAGCACTCTCACTGGGACTGTGTCATTCATTTGTTTAGTCAACAAACATTTATGGAACAACTGCTGGGAGCTCACCTGACCAGTTGATACAAATATGAATAAGACATGGTCTTGATCTTGAAGATGCTGTCAGCTTGGTGGAAAAGAAGAGCACAAAGACCGGGCGCGGTGGCTCACACCTGTAATCCCAACACTTTGGGAGGCCGAGGCAGGCGGATCAGCTGAGGTCAGGAGTTCAAGACCAGCCTGGCCAACATGGTGAAACCCCATCTCTACTAAAAAAATATATATATATATACAAAAATTAGCCGGGCATGATGGCGGGTGCCTGTAATTCCGGCTACTCAGGAGGCTGAGGCTGAGGCGGAAGAATCGCTTGAACCCAAGGTTCAAGGTTGCAGTGAGCCAAGATCATGCCATTGCACTCTAGCCTGGGCGACAGAGCAAGACTGTCTTAAAAAAAAAAGAGAGAAGAGCGCAGAAAGACCCTCCTCATCATCATCAAACATCAAACATTGCCATCATCCGACAGTGTCACCAGTGCACTACAAGACGTGTGAACAGGAAATGATGGGCATACGGAGAAGGGCCCTTGCCCAGCCGGGGATCCAGGAAGGCCTCCTGGAGGAGGTGGAACTGAGCCAAGTCTCAAAGGATGAGTGTGAGTTAGTCAAAAGGAAAGCCTTCTGGGTGGAGGGGACTTCCTGAACAGACCGGAGATGAGAGAATTGGGCCCTTGAGTTGCAGTTCCATGTCACTTGGTCGAACCAAGAGGTGGGTGGGTGGCAAGCACTAGCAAGTTAGGAGCTTGGACGACGGGGTGCTATTGAAGTTTTTAGGCAGAACAGTGACGGCTCCCAGAGAGCCCTCTGGCTGCAGCATAGCAGCTGGCCTGGAGATGGGAGGCTGGTTGGGAGGCTGCTGTGATGGTGGCCTAGGTGAGAGAGGATGGTGCCAGGCTCAGGACTGCGGTAGTGGGGATGGTGAGGGGAATGGATTTGGAAAATATTGAGAGAAAATTGGCAGGATTTGATTATAGACTGGACTTCTGAGGAAGGAGGATGGTGAGACACCCAGGTGAGTGGTGCCACACACAAACACAAAATGCCAAGCCAGGGAGTGGGACTGGAAGGGGGCGGTGAGGTGGTGGGAGGCACCCACAGAGGCCCTTCTGCACTGTGGGGTCTGGTGTGTTGGAGGAAGATCTGCACTTGGATGAGGAGATTTGGGGATCGCCAGCATCCGCGTCATTGAAGTGATGAGCATGGACGTGTGACCCAGGGGCTTGAACGGAGTTAAGAAGAGCAGGGCCAGGAGCAGACAGACCTAGAGAGCAAGAACATTCAGGAGCAAAGCCTGAGGCAGGAGGGTGGTCATCAACACAGATGCTGCAGCCAGGTGGCCCAGGGTCGGGCGGCATCCCCACCACTCCTCCCGGGGATGACTTGCACCTGAAACAGAGGTAATAAAACACAGCAGCCTTGTGAGGATGACATGACTTAATCCGTTTAAAGGGCTGAGAAAGTGCTCACATACTTTAGCTCTTTGAGGGCTAGAGGCCCAGAAGGCATGTGAGGGAGACACGGAGTGATGCTTGAGACTGGGGGCACAGGTACCTAGAGGACGGGGTGGCGTGGCCCGTGTCTGGGGTCTGTCAGCGAGGCGATCCCTGGGCTCTTGGCAGGGCTGGCACTGCTGAACGTGGGGCTGGCTGAGGCCCAACTTCTGTGGAGGAGTGAGTGGAAGGTGAGAGGCAGAGATGGCATGGGGTGGCTGTTCTCTTTGGGAGCTTGTCTAAGGCAGGTGGAGGGAGGCACAAAAGTTTCTAGAATGGACATTGGAACAAAAACTGCTTTCTGACAGGTAGAGTTGGTGACATAGGATTTGGTCTCTGAGGAGATGGGGTGGGAAGTTGAGGTTGTTTATGCCTGATGACCCCGATTTCCTTGGAAGAAGTGGAGACATCTATAAAAGCAGGAAGGCAGACCCAGGGCAGAGGCCCTAGAAGCCGGGTTGTTAGAGGGGAGCCAGCCCCTGAGCAGAGGGACTGAGCGTGTCCCTGTGTAGACCTGTGAGCAGGCAGGCGGCAGGCAGGCTCCTAAGGTGACGGCAGTGGTCTGTGCACCCATGGCACAGGCCCTAGGTCGGGACTGGGACTGCCTGGGGGTTCTGGCAGAGGCTCTTCGTCTGCCCACTTGGGGCTGTAGCAATGGCTTTCCGGGGCATGCCCCAGGAGCACAGATGCTGTGAGGCCAGGTTCCCTTGCCCTCGTTGCCACTTTCTTGGTGACCTCAGTCCATGGGAGGACCCTTGGCACACAATACCCCCAACCTCTGCCCAGAGTCCCTGGTCAGGGACTCGACTCTGGCACTGGGCTGGTGTCAGCAGAATGTGGCCCCCTCCTCCATGCTCCATGAGGAAGAAGTGGCTGCCCTGCCCAACACGGGCCGTGTGGAGGAAGGAAGTGCACCCAGGTTGGCAGTGTGTCCCAGTTTCCTGCTGACTGTGGCCCCGTCAGCACTCCTGCCCTGGAGGTGGGGCTGCTGCTGGGGTAAGTGGGTCCAAGGTTCTGGTGACTTATCGTGACATCCCTGGGGACGAAGGGCTACAACAGCCTTTCAGGAGGCTCTCTGGGGACTTGTCCCGCCCAGACCCCTCTCTGAGAGTGGGGGAGGCCACTGGCTGCCTCCTTGCATTGGAGGCCCCTTCCCCACCGACTCCACAGGGAAGCTGGTGTTTTCTGGCCTGATCCTGCTGGGGCCTGTAGAGGGTGGGATGTTAGGGCCAGGTCAGCGTCTTGCTGCCGTGCCCGGAGCCACAGTAGAGAGAAAGGTGGGGTGGGGTTCTGAGTCACAGCGCTGCTGCAGCTAGCTGGCTGGCCTGGGGTGGGGACTAACCAGGGTGGGGATGGTGCTGAGCCCTATTCCTGTCTCACCCCAGAGAGCTCCAGGCTTCCGGCTGAGTCACAGGGAAGGAGGACCCTTACATGGGGCTGAGGGCTGAGTATTCCCACATCACTTCCTACTCAGAACCCCACTTCCTACTCAGAACCCCACTTCCTGGGGTGGGGAGTGGGGACCCTGCAGGTGACTCTTATGTGCCCATTCCATGTGCCGTCTCCCTCCAGGGAGGGACAGGGCAGCCCCAGACCAGCCCCGGTCTGCCTTTTTGAAGGATGATCTGCCTAGTGGGATGCACTGGCCTTGGTGAAGCCCCTGGCTGAAGCCTGTCGGGGTGGAGGGAGAGGGTTCACCCTGAATGGGAAAACCGGCCGCAGCCTCGGCGTGCCCTGCTTTCTTCATACTGGACTAACCCACTGGATAGATGGATTTAGAGGATGTCCGAGCAGCACAGGCAGCCCAGGAGAGCGAGCGAGACACTCTTTGACACAAGGGAGAGCATAAAAGCTTAAGACTGACCCCAAGGTGCGCCAGCCCCTCGCAGGAAGTAAAGTGCAGAAACACCTCCACCCCTGCACAAAGAGCACCTAGGAGTGAGTGCGCAAGCGTGGACAAGCCCTGCGGTACCGTGTACACACACACACACACACACACACCACAGGCAAGCTCAGGCAGGGTCCTTCACAGACGTCTGCAGTCACTCTGGAGGTGACCCAAGCACCTGGGCCCTTAGACAGTAACACCACTCACACCGAGCACAGACCAGCTCGCGCCCACAACACGAGCCTGTGACACGCAAGTCTCTGTTTCTGAGCTGATGCCGTCTGGCTTTGGCCATGAGACCCTCGTGTGACCAGGTGCGTGCCTAAGTTAGAATCGCCCAGGCTAAGTTCGTGAACCCCCTGGATGAGGGAGGCCCGACTCCCGCAAGGAGCCCTGCCCTTCTGCCAGCTCTCACCGGGCCGGATTTTCCTGCGGGGCTTTTGGATTTTGTTTTTGAGTCACTCATTGAGTGTTGGTCGCGTGCCAGACACCATGCCACACTGCAAACCATGTGCAACGTTGTTTTAGCAAAGCTGTCTCAGTAAATGTGGGTTATTATGTATATTATTATTTACATACGTAATCTCATTTTTTCTAATAACAACCCCATGAGGCAAAGTGTTATTATTTTCCCCATTTTACAGATAAGGAAAACGGGGCTTTGAGAGGTTAAGTGGCGTGTCCTGGTGGCACACAGCCAGTAAGTGGTAGAGGATGGCTTTGAACCCAGGTCTCTAACTCTACTCTGCACACCATGGCTTTCAGTCTGACTCTCAGGGCAGAGAGATGAGGCAAGTGTGGAAGGGAAGCCCCAGAAGGGGAAAGCCTGGTTAAGGGGCCCTTCACCCCCCTCTCCAAGGCACATTCCCCTTTCTGTCCCTTTGTCGTTTCATTCACTCTACTCCCAGCATGGCTGGAGGGCTTGTGGCTGGCTCGTTTGGAGGCCTGGGCTGAACCAGGGACTGGCTGGTCTATAGGTTTCCCCTCCAGCCGGCTGCACTCTGTAGTGCCCGAGGCAGGTTTCCACCCCTTCTCCCAGGCGTAAGTGGGATTGAGTTGCCACCTGGGACTGAGGCTTATCTCTGACTCTTGGCATTTCTTTGTCTGGACAGATTCCAAGGGCGGTCTGCTGCCCAGACTTACAGGGCCTGCCCAGGTGGAAACGCTCTTTTGCAGGTAGATAAGCACGGGCAACCAGCTTATCTGAACCAGCCCTTGCTTCCAGAGAACTATGGAAAAATCCAAAAGATAAGAAGGGACCGCAGTGTCTGTCTTGGTCTCACTCCTCTTGAGACTCCTGTGATCTTTATATGTCTCATTCCTCCCGTGACATGTATGAGAAACTGCAGCTCATTGAGACGATGTCTCTGCTGCCTGACAGAAGGGCCTACTTGAGGGCCGGGCTCGGTGGCTCAGCCACCTGACCCCCGTCATCCTGTTAACTAGTGTCACCCCCACCCGAGGGCTTCCTTCCCCATTTGCTGCCAGGTGTAAAGCTGAGCTTCGGCTGGGCGCGGTGGCTCAGGCCTATAATCCCAGCACTTTGGGAGGCTGAGGCAGGCGGATCACCTGAAGTCAGGAGTACGAGAGACCAGCCTGGCCAACATGATGAAACCCTGACTTTACTGAAAATACAAAAATTAGCTGGGCATGGTGGCAGGCACCTGTAATCCCAGCTTCTTGGGAGGCTGAGGCAGGAGAATCGCTTGAACCTGAGAGGTGTAGGTTGCACCATTGCACTCCAGCCTGGACAACAAGAGAGAAACTCCGTCTCAAAAAAAAAAAAAAAAAAGGGCTGAGCTGCTGGGCGTGGTGGCTCACGCCTGTAATCCCAGCACTTTGGGAGGCCGAGGCGGGTGGATCACATGAGGTCAGGAGTTCAAGACCAGCCTGACCAACATGGAGAAACCCCGTCTCTACTAAAAATACTTTGCCGGGCGTGGTGACATATGCCTGTAATCCCAGCTACTCAGGAGGCTGAGGCAGGAGAATCGCTTGAACCTGGGAGGCGGAGGTTGCGGTGAGCCAAGATTGTGCTATTGCACTCCAGCCTGGGCAACAACAGCAAAACACCATCTCAAAAAAAAAAAAAAAAAAAAAGGCTGAGCTTCCCCCAAATGGCTGATATGTGTTCCTCCTTATGGACATTGAGGATGGAGTAGCTTCATTTCCCATTTTTCTTTGGCCACCAGGAGGCCCAGCACTAAAGGCTCAGCCCTTCTCTACCAGCTGTGCGAAGACTCATTGACCTACTCGTGAATTTTTACTTCCTTGCTGATGGAGATGTTTTTCTTCAGATTTGGGTTTTCTCTGCTCCTGATTTTAATGTTTATATTTCACTACTTTCTTTTCTTCATGTCTCCCCACCCTTTATGGAACCAGGCTGGGGGTATGTAAAAACACTCCACAGGTAAACACACATGAAGTCATCTTCACAGCTGCTTGATTGGGCGTGTTGCACTTTTTGCTTCCTCAGCTTCGTGAGACTGTTTGTGTGGTCATAACCCACTGGTCCGCTACAACGTGCCTGAGGGTGGTCAGGGTGCTGCTCTTTGCTTGTTTTTGTGTTCTCATCAGCTGCTTAGAATTTTAAAAATAATTTCTCTCCAAACCCTTTAGTTACCCAAAGCATAAACAGTACCCTGGTGGGTAAGTGTGTGTGTGTTTCTTTTTTTTTTTCTTTGATTTATATATTTCACATTATATAAGGATAACCTGCTTATTAGAGAATCTAAAAATGATAACAAGTAAAAAAGAAAAGAAAGCTACCTGTAATTCTACCAGGGAGCCCATGTTTTAGTGTTTTGTGATACATCCTTCTGGATTTTTTTCCTATGCTTATATTTTTCCCACAAAAAATAGAATTTGACCATACATACTAAATATAACCTGAATTTTCACTTCATGGTAGATAATTCGTGTCTTTCCTTGTTGTTATTCTGCAAAAACAAAAGCTACTTAAAATGTGTACCAAGGTCTGGGCGCAGTGGCCCACACCTGTAATCCCAGCACTTCGGGAGGCTGAGGCAGGCGGATTGCTTGAAGCCAGGAGTTCGAGACCAGCCTGGCCAACATGGCAAAACCCTGTCTCTACTAAAAATACAAAAGTTAGCCGGGCATGGTGGCACATGCCTGTAATCCCAGCTACTCGGGAGGCTGAGGCAGAAGAATTGCTCGAACCTGGAAGGCGGAGGTTGCGGTGAGCCGAGATCATGCCAGTGCACTCCTGCCTGGGCAACAGAGTGAGACTCAGTCTCAAAAAATAAATAAAATTTGTATCAAGGATACATGCACGTATATATATATTTTTAAGTATAGAAGGGCTTATTATAAAAAGCAAAAACGTCTGTCCTCCCTCACCCCAGGCCAATTTAAAAGGGACTTTTAATCATTTAGGGTTCTTAGGGTTCTTGTTCTACCATTATTTCCTCCATTTTTTTTTTTTCTTTTTGAGATGGAGTTTCACTCTTGTTGCCCAGGCTGGAGTGCAATGGTGTGATCTCAGCTCACCGCAACCTCTGCATCCCAGGTTCAAGCGATTCTCCTGCCTCAGCCTCCCGAGTAGCTGGGATTACAGGCATGTGCTACTACGCCTGGCTAATTTTATATTTTTAGTAGAGACGGGATCTCTCCATGTTGGTCAGGCTGGTCTCGAACTCAGGTGATCCACACCAAAGTGCTGGGATTATAGGTGTGAGCCACCACGCCCAGCCCATTTCCTCCATATTTTTAAGTAAAATACTTACACCACTATTTCTTGGCTTATTTGAATTCCTAACTTTCCCTCACTTACATCTCCCTTCCATTCCTCCCCCCAACATATTCTGTCACCGTACTGTATTCACTTCCTTTATTGGTTACCTTTGCAATATAAAACAGTACACTTGACCTGTATTTATTATTCCATTAGCCATTGGCAGCAGCTTGTGACAACCCTGCTACCATATTATGATGTCTGTCTGTCATCAGTTCTGGTTTCTGAGGTCAAAATTGAAAACACTCCCATTCTGTGTAATAACCATCAGTCTCAAAGACCAGTGCTTTTTTGGGAGGCTGACGCGGGCAGATCACTTGAGTTCAGGAGTTTGAGACCAGCCTGGCCAACATGGTGAAACCCCGTCTCTACTAAAAATACAAAAATTAGCTGGGTGTGATGGTGCATGCCTGTAATACCAGCTACTTGGGAGGCCGAGGCAGGAGAATCACTTGAACCTAGGAGGTGGAGGTTGCAGTGAGCCAAGATCATGCCACTGCACTCCAGCCTGGGCAACAGAGCGAGACTTCGTCTCAAAAAAAAAAGAAAAGCCCATGCTCAACATTTGCATTACTCTGTCAATGCAAATAGCATTCACTGCAGGGCCCACTTAACATTTCCTTCTCTTTGGGTCTAATGTCACTCAAAGGAAAGTGTTAAATGTATTTTCCTTTCTTAATATTCTATTATGTGCTCAAAACTCATCACTTTATATTTTAGTTTGCTTGATATTTTGACCATGCCTTTCTTGCCTGTTTTTCTGGAGCTTCTAATACATCATTTTTTTTCCCAGCTGTATAGTATTCAGTTGGATTGAGGCATCATAATTTATTTTGACAAGGTCCCCTCTGGTTGGACGGACTCTTTGGTTTTCAGTTTTTTATTAATGTGAAGGGTGCCGTAGTAAGTATCCTTGTACATACATCTCTGCATCATTTCTTATGTAATGTTTGAGAGTCCAGGAATGCTGCTCGCCCATCAAACCTGATCCCCCTGCCCCCAGCCCCTTGCCATTGCCACCCTTTGCCTTGCTGATTACCTTCCTTTAAACCAGTCCATCTAAAGGTTGGTGTTAAGAGGCTTCCCATGGGAGGGGTGGCCCCAGGTAATACCCATCTTCCTCTCCCCAGGCTCTGAAGAGCGGCCATTCCTCAGATTCGAAGCTGAACACATCTCCAACTACACAGCCCTTCTGCTGAGCAGGGATGGCAGGACCCTGTACGTGGGTGCTCGAGAGGCCCTCTTTGCACTCAGTAGCAACCTCAGCTTCCTGCCAGGCGGGGAGTACCAGGAGGTGAGAGATGTTGCCTGGAGCTGGCTAGGCTGGGCAGAGGACCACAGAGGGAAGATGGACGGGAAGCTTGACCTTCTGGGTCCAAGGATGATGCCTATGGGAGAGGAGGGAGGCTCAGCAAACCCTCCATTTTGTCCACTACCTTCCCCTTTCTCATTCCCCAGCTGCTTTGGGGTGCAGACGCAGAGAAGAAACAGCAGTGCAGCTTCAAGGGCAAGGACCCACAGGTGAGCCCACACCTGGAAGGGAGCTGAGCTGCAGGAGGGATGGAGGGTGGTGGACTTCCATCCAGGCCAGAGGCGGGAGGTGGGAGCAGATACAGCCAGGTATGGTGGGAAGGGCATAAGCTTCTGAGATTACCCGGCCTGGGTTTGAATCCCAGCACTACACTTACATCGCTACGACCTTCGACAAGTAGATTCACCTGTCTAAGCCTTAGTGGGCCCACCTGTAAAATGGGGATAATGATCCGGTCTCACTGGGCTTACAGTGAGGATTCAGGAAGCTAATAGGTGTAAGGCACCTGGCTCATAGATACAAGACCTAACAAGTCAGCTTCCAGCGTGAACAGAGATTGGGTGGGGTGAGAGTTGTGTCCCTCTGCAGATGGTTCCTGATGTAGCACATCTGACAGATTCTGGTGTGGTTTTGGCCAAAGCACAGGATGAAATCTGGTTCAACCCAGGTTCTCCTGGAGGACTCATCATCATCCCTAGAGGCCTCCTGCTCCTGCTCCTAAGTGCAGCAGGTGCTGGGTAAGGTGAGGGCAAACGAGTGCTGGACTTGGGATCAAGACACAGGTTCAAGTCCTGGCTGCCATTCTGTTATTCAGCTAACATTGATGAAGCATGCACTCTGTGTCCATGTACTTTTAGGTACTGGAGATTTAATTGTGAAAAAGCAGGCTTGGCACAGTGGCTCACGCCTGTAATCCCAGCACTTCGGGAGGCTGAGGCAGGTGGATCACAAGGTCTCCACCTCATGGTCTCCTGAGTGTCTCAGGAGTTCGAGACCAGCCAGGCCAACATAGTGAAACTCCGTCTCTACTAAAAATACAAAAAACATTAGCCAGGCATGGTGGCAGGCGCCTGTAGCCCCAGCTACCTGGGAGGCTGAAGCAGGAGAATCGCTTGAACCTGGGAGGCAGAGGTTGCAGTGAGCCGAGATCTCGCCACTGCACTCCAGCCTGGATGACAGAATGAGACTGTGTTTCAAAAGAAAAAGTAGTCAGTTTACAAATGTTATTGGCGGGGCGTGGGATGGAATGAGGTGGTCAGGTAACATTTCATTAAAAAAGTGACATTTGAGCCAAGATCAGGAGAGAGTGAGGAGCTGACAGTGGCATATCTGGAGGAGGGGCAGGACTTTTGATTTCACTCTGAGGGAGGTATTTGGGAGGCCAGGGGAAGGCTGAGCAGAGATGTGACATGGTCTCACCTGTGTACTAAGAGGGTCACTCTGGCTACTGTGGTAGAGAAGCCTCCATGGGGAAGGACAGGAGGAGGGAGAGCAGTGAGGGGCGAGTGATGATGGTGGCTCGGACCAGTGAGAAATGCTCAGATTCCGGATGCATTTTGAAGATGGAGCCACCAGGATTTCTGGGTGGGAAATTATGGGGTATGACCGACAAGAAGAGTCAAGGCTGACTGGGTTTGGGGCCTCAGCGACTGAAAAGACAGAATTAATGAAAGTGGCAAGATCTCGGGGGGAAGCATGTGTTTTAGGGAGGACCAGAAAGAAGCTTGGTTGCAGGTGCCAGTTAGATACCCCATTTGAAGGTGATGCATGAATCTGGGGTTCAGGGTTCAGGGCTGAGCAGTCCTCCTGCTCTGGGCTGTGGCTTCATCAGCTCCCAGCTTGGTTGGGAGGGGCCTGTGGCTTCTGAAGAGGATGCTGCTGGGGAATAGTACAACTCAAAGGGGTAGGATTCTGTGCCCTCACCCCTAGGCCGAAGGAAAGTTTGCCAGTCACAAAACTAGCTGAGCCCCTGGGCTCCCTGCAGCACACACACTCTGTGCACGCTCCACTGTGCCCCAGAAAACCCGTGGGTTCTTTGTTCCTAGACTTGAGTGCCCCATCCCCAGTCCTGGGAGCAGAGGCCGGGCCTGGGTGTGGAAGGGGGGGCTCGGCGGTGCCCCCTGGTGGCATGCTTGGGCGTGGGACTGATATCCCCTCGCTCCTTCCCCCCAGCGCGACTGTCAAAACTACATCAAGATCCTCCTGCCGCTCAGCGGCAGTCACCTGTTCACCTGTGGCACAGCAGCCTTCAGCCCCATGTGTACCTACATCGTGAGTGACCTGTCCTCAGCCCTGAGGCTGACCTGGGAACTGCCCCTCTTTCTGCCCCAGGGATCCTGTTCTGTAGCATAGACCCCTGAGGAAAGGCAGGGCCCAGAGGGAGGTTTCTAGGTACCACTGGCCTCCAAGAGCCCTGAGGTCCCACACCCTGGCACAAAGCGCAGCCCTGACAGCCATGTCTCCCTGTGCGGGGAGGCGGGGGCACATGCGGTCACTTACCCATGAAGATCCTGTGCCACCCAGGCCTTGCTGCCCTCTTCTGCTTCTTCCAGCATCTCTCCCTCTCCTTTGCTTGATTCTCTTGTCTTATCTTGTACACCCCCTCCTCAGCACACACCCCTAGCAGAGGGTGGCATTTGATGCTGTGGGTTGGAGCCCAGCTTTGGGGTCAGACACACCTGGGTTTGAATCACATTGCTGCCCCTTCCAGGCTCACATCATTTTATTTCTTTTTTCTTTTTCTTTTCTTTTTTTTTTTTTTTTTTGAGATGGAGTCTCGCTCTGTCGCCCAGGCTGGAGTGCAGTGGCACGATCTCGGCTCACTGCAAGCTCTGCCTCCTGGGTTCACGCCATTCTCCTGCCTCAGCCTCCCGAGTAGCTGGGACTACAGGTGCCCGCCACCACGCCTGGCTAATTTTTTCTATTTTTCGGTAGAGAGGGGGGTTTCACCGTGTTAGCCAGGATGGTCTTGATCTCCTGACCTCGTGATCCACCCGCCTCGGCCTCCCAGAGTGCTGGGATTACAGGTGTGAGCCACCGCGCCCGGCCAGGCTCACATCATTTTCTAAGCCTCACCTCCTCCGCCAGGTGGGTCTGATAATGTGTCCCGCGTCGGGTCACTGTGAGGCAGTGTGGCACTGTGTCTGGGTGAGGCCTCTCCTGAGGCCGACTGTCCAGGTTCAAACCCTTCGGCACCGTGTCCTGGCTGAGGAGGACGGCGTCCCTGACACCTGACCCCTTCTGTCCCACACACCTCACCTGCCTGCAGAGTTGCCTTCTCCTGCACGCCTCTCTCTTTCTCACCAAGCCTGCTCCTCATTCCCTGGAGTGCCCCTGAGCCCATGTGTCCACCCTCCTGCAGAACATGGAGAACTTCACCCTGGCAAGGGACGAGAAGGGGAATGTCCTCCTGGAAGATGGCAAGGGCCGTTGTCCCTTCGACCCGAATTTCAAGTCCACTGCCCTGGTGGTTGGTGAGTGTTGAGGGCAGGATGGCTTCATTGAGGTTCCATGTAGGGGCACACAGGGCTAGAGGGCTAGCTTTGGACAGGCTGAGTCCATGCCATGCTTATTTCCAAGGGGACAGAATGGCCAGGGGCTTGCCTTGGGTTTGGTTTTTCCAAGTTCCAGCTTCCTTCTCTGCCCACCACAGGCAAAACGGGCAGTGCTGGGGTCACTCTGGGCCCTGAGCAGGGAGAAGGGGCCGTGCTGAGGAGCCCATTCCCATGGGAATGTTTTCTTGGCAGATGGCGAGCTCTACACTGGAACAGTCAGCAGCTTCCAAGGGAATGACCCGGCCATCTCGCGGAGCCAAAGCCTTCGCCCCACCAAGACCGAGAGCTCCCTCAACTGGCTGCAAGGTGAAGTCCTCTTGCCACCACCCAGAGGGCAGGGATCCTGTTCACCCAGCCCTAGAAGGGGGCACTTTCCCCCAGCTTGGCCTGTCTCCAGGGTTCCTGGGCTGACTCTGAGCTCCTGACCTGGTCCCTACAGACCCAGCTTTTGTGGCCTCAGCCTACATTCCTGAGAGCCTGGGCAGCTTGCAAGGCGATGATGACAAGATCTACTTTTTCTTCAGCGAGACTGGCCAGGAATTTGAGTTCTTTGAGAACACCATTGTGTCCCGCATTGCCCGCATCTGCAAGGTGAGGGGAACGGGCTGACAGGGTGGCCACCCCAGGGACCTCAAAGCCTCCACAGCTGCAAGATCACCCACATCCATGCATGGCCTTTCCCATCCCGCCAAGGAGTACAGCTTGGCTAACAGCTTTTCTCTCTCACCTTTTAAATTAAAATATCTTACTACTTTTTTCTTTTTTTTTTTTCTTTTTATTTTTAGACAGGATCTTTGCTCTGTCACCCAGGCTGGAGTGCAGTGGCACGATCACGGTTCACTGCAGCCTCGACCTCCTGGGCTCAAGCAGTTCTCCTACCTCAGCCTCCCGAGTAGCTGAGACTACAGGTGTGCGCCCCCATGCCCAGCTAATTTTTGTATTTTTTGTAGAGATGGGGTTTTACCACGTTGCCTGGGCTGGTCTCAAACTCCTGGGCTCAAACAATCCACCCACCTCGGCTTCCCAAAGTGCTGGGATTACAGGCATGAGCCACTGCACCCAGCCATTTTTTTTCTTTTCTTTTTTTTTTTTTTACTTAAAAAATGTGAAAATAGCCGGGCATGGTGGCTCACGCCTGTAATCCCAGCACTTTGGGAGGCCAAGGTGGGTGGATCACCTGAGGTCAGGAGTTTGAGACCAACCTGGCCAACATGGTAAAACCCCATCTCTACTAATAATACAAAAGTTAGCTGGGCGTGGTGGTGCACGCCTGTAATCCTAGCTACTCAGGAGGCTGTGGCAAGAGAATCGCTTGAACCTGGGAGGTGGAGGTTGCAGTGAGCCGAGATGGTGCCACTGCACTCCAGCCTGGGTGACAGAGCAAGACTGTCTCAAAAAAAAAAATGTGAAAATAGAAAACTGTACACACAAAAATCACTTACAAGTTAAAGAGGCACTGTAGCATCAGCTGGAGAGCACAGACCCTGGAGGCCAACTGCCCAAGTTCAAACCCTGCTGGCCTAGGATCTTGGGCAAGTCCCTCACCCCCTCGGTTAACAGTTTCCTCTTCTGTTAAATAGGAAGAATAACACTGACCTCAGAGTTGTTATGTGAATTATTAATCCACGCAAAGCTCTTAGAAATGTGGTGGGCAGTGACTAAATGTGAACTATGAATGTTATTACCCCACCACCCCAGCACAAGAAGGAGTCACTGGTATCATTTTAGAATGCCCCCTCCAAATCTTTTTTTTTTTTTTTGGCATATGTGTAACTCTGTGTATATATATATATACATTTTTTTTTTTCCTTTTTGAGACAGGGTCTCACTTTGTCATCCAGGCTGGTGTGCAGCGGTGAGATTTCACTGCAACCTCCGCTGCCCAATCTCAAGCAATCCTCTCACCTCAGCCCCTCATGTAGCTGGGACTACCAGCATGCACCACCATGCCCAGCTAATTTTTTTGTATTTTTAGCAGAGACAGGGTCTCAAACTCCTGAGCTCAAGTGATCCACCCGCCTTGGCCTCCCAAAGTGCTGGAATTATAGGCATTAATAATATAAGTACCATCCCGACCTTGTACTTATATTATTAACTCACTCAGGAACATGGCATTAGGCTATATTGGGGTCCTTTGGCTTCCTTGTTTGCTCAGCAGTGAATCGCGTCCATATTTAGGAAGGCTCTGCTTAGTTACAGTAAGGACCATCCTCCTGATGGATGCGTACACTGCTCTTCCTGACTTTAGATGGAACTTGGTCCTGGCCTTCTCCTGCCCTTCAGTCCTGGTGTCTGGGGTGGGTCCATTGAGGCAGTCCTGTGCCGTGCATCCCCGTCATGGCTCAGCATGTGCCTAAGCCCAGCCCATCCGACTCTCCCTCCAGGGCGATGAGGGTGGAGAGCGGGTGCTACAGCAGCGCTGGACCTCCTTCCTCAAGGCCCAGCTGCTGTGCTCACGGCCCGACGATGGCTTCCCCTTCAACGTGCTGCAGGATGTCTTCACGCTGAGCCCCAGCCCCCAGGACTGGCGTGACACCCTTTTCTATGGGGTCTTCACTTCCCAGTGGTAGGGCCTCCAGACCTCGCTGGAGATGGAAGGGTGAAGGGTGGCTGGGACTGGGGCCCCCAGGGCTCCTGGGTTAATCTGGTTATTTCCTCTGCAGGCACAGGGGAACTACAGAAGGCTCTGCCGTCTGTGTCTTCACAATGAAGGATGTGCAGAGAGTCTTCAGCGGCCTCTACAAGGAGGTGAACCGTGAGACACAGCAGTGGTACACCGTGACCCACCCGGTGCCCACACCCCGGCCTGGAGCGGTGGGTACTGGCTCCCTGCACCCAGAAGGGGTGCCGGGAAGATGTGGGTCCCCACACCATGCTGGGAGCAAGGCTGCCTAGCCTCGGGCAGATCACTTGGCTTCTCTGAATCTCTTTTCTCATCTTTAATATGGGGATATAGGCCCAGGCCTGCTTGTGTACTGGGTTAGATATAAGTATGAATGTCAGAATATCTTCAGTTCTGTTTCAGGATACAAGTGTGTCCCCATCAGGGCACTTGCTGCAGGCTGTTACAATCATCTCTTCATTTGGTCCTCTCCCCTACTCAGCTGCAAGCTCCTTATTTAATTATCAAGTGACTGAATGGGCAAGCTGTGGGGAAATAATCCTTTCTTCCTCCCTTCTAGCCTAACGGGCTACCCTGATAGCAGACCTTGAGACAAGGATATACGTGCCAAATAGTTTATTAGGGAGGTGATGCCAGGAAGCAGCATGAAGGAATAGGAAGGTTGAGAGGAGGAGGGAGGGAAACCAAAAGAGGGTGTGTCAGCACGCTGTTGTTGCTGTGGGCAGCTGGAGCTGGGTCCTGCTGGAGCCCCTGACAGATGGTGTGGAGCACCTCTCAGAATTTCAGGAAGCCTCAGGCGGGGCAGGAAAGAACTGCCGACTGCACTGGGACGCTCTGCCCGGCCAGGGCTTCCTGAGAGCACTGGTGAAGGGTGCAGAGGAGCAGGGAGTGTGGTCCTGGTTCTTGAGGCCCCTGGGCATATGAGGCTGGGGTGGTGGGCAGGGAGGAGGCACAGCAAGGAAGCCCTCCAAGCACTCGGTTTCCCCGCACCCTGGGCTTTGTCCTTGCTCCCTCAGATGTGCACACTGGCTCTGTAGAGCACTGCCAGGGATGTGCCCTGGCTCCGGGCGGGGGGACAGACACCGCTACTGTCCACTGGGGAAGCAGGGCCCGCATCCTGCCTGCCACCCCGAGGTGTGGCTGGCCTCACACTGCTGCTTTCTCCTCCAGTGCATCACCAACAGTGCCCGGGAAAGGAAGATCAACTCATCCCTGCAGCTCCCAGACCGCGTGCTGAACTTCCTCAAGGACCACTTCCTGATGGACGGGCAGGTCCGAAGCCGCATGCTGCTGCTGCAGCCCCAGGCTCGCTACCAGCGCGTGGCTGTACACCGCGTCCCTGGCCTGCACCACACCTACGATGTCCTCTTCCTGGGCACTGGTAAGTGTCTGCAGCCCAGCAGGCTCAGGGGAAGGGGTGCACGTGGCTGGTGGGTCATGGGCAGTGGGCTCCACCCAGGGCCTGAGTCCTGTCCACACCCCAGGTGACGGCCGGCTCCACAAGGCAGTGAGCGTGGGCCCCCGGGTGCACATCATTGAGGAGCTGCAGATCTTCTCATCGGGACAGCCCGTGCAGAATCTGCTCCTGGACACCCACAGGGTGAGCAGGCCAACGAGGAATCCTGGCAGGGTACTTGGGGGGTGCCCTCCATTAGCACCAAGCAGTCCCCACCCAGCTTCTCCTCCCTTGCCTCAGGAGGATGGAAAGATAAAGGATCCAGTCATGAACTATTAGAAAGTGGGGTCGCCTGTTACGTAACAGGCCTCTTGGGGGTGGCTCTGGGAGGCATACAAGCCGGGTGGCCATGGGTGATGGCCCTGGCTGCCCATGCCCGCTTCTCATCCCCGTGTCTGGCTGTGCAGGGGCTGCTGTATGCGGCCTCACACTCGGGCGTAGTCCAGGTGCCCATGGCCAACTGCAGCCTGTACAGGAGCTGTGGGGACTGCCTCCTCGCCCGGGACCCCTACTGTGCTTGGAGCGGCTCCAGCTGCAAGCACGTCAGCCTCTACCAGCCTCAGCTGGCCACCAGGTGAGCACTCCCAAAGGCCCCTTCCCATCTGTCCAGCCCTGCACAGGTGACCTCGGAGCACCATCCTGGGCCCTCCTTGGGACCGCCACACAGCCTCGTTTATGTCCACTGTCTCAGCATAATTATTAATTAGCTCTCCTGCTTCCTCTCAAGTGCAATTCAGACAGGAAATTGTGTGTTTATCTTGGCTACCTGTAAAACGAGGACATGATTTGGTAAAGTATGAAATAGCACAGCTTTGAAAAGCCTTGCAGGAAAATGTGGATTAGCGTGTGAACGTGCTTTAGTAATAGTAGGGCTAGGAAACAGTCCATTAACAAACCCAGTAAAAATTGGTTTCAGAATAACCTATTTGGATTATAAAATGTTCATTTAGAAAATAGGGATGAACACAAAGCAAAACTACCCCTCATCCCACCACCTAGAGAGAATCGCAGTGAGATTTTGATATATTATCCTCTCAGGTTTTACTACATATGTGTATAGATAACAAAAATCCTTTTATTTTATTTCATTTCATTTCATTTATCTTGTTTGGAGACTCGCTCTGTCGCCCAGGCTGGAGTGCAGTGGCACAATCTCGGTTCACTGCAACCTCCACGTCCTGGGTTCAAGCGATTCTCCTGCCTCAGCCTCCCAAGTAGCAGGGATTACAGGTGCCCGCCACCATGCCCAGCTAATTTTTGTATTTATAGTGGAGGCAGGGTTTCACCATGTTGGCCAGGCTGGTCTCGAACTTCTGACCTCAGATGATCCACCCACCTTGGGCTCCCAGAGTGCCGGGATTACAGCCATGAGCCACCGCGTCTGGCCAAACATTCATATATTTTATATAACATTGGCAACTGTCCTGTTTGTAGTGTTCTTGCTTCACATATGGATACACCTGGTGTCAGTTTTTACAAAAACCAAGTGAGTTTTGGTGCGTATGCCAGGAGGGACACCCCAGAATGTTAACTGTCATGATCACTGGCTGGTAGATGCTGTGATTTTTGTAGTGTTTTCATCCTTCGTGCCTGGTTGACTTATCTGTCTCCTGAGTGTATCCAGAATTACTGTCCTTTATTTTTTATTACACAGATGTATGCATGTGCACTGTTTAAAAAAAAAGATGAGAACACATCAAAAAAAATTTTAATTAAAAAAAAGAAAAAGAGAGATCTATACATACAGATCCCAGCTGTCCTTCTAATCTTTTTCTGAGGGTACATACTATTTTTTATTATTATTTTTTGAGACAGGGTCTCTCTGTGTTGCTCAGGCTGGAGTGTAGTGGTGTGATTACAGCTCACTGCAGCCTTGGCCTCCTGGGCTCAAGCAATCGATCCTCCAACCTCAGCCTCCTGAGCAGGTGGAACCACAGGCGTGCGCCACCATGCCTGGCTAATTTTTCTATTTTTTGTAGAGATGGGGTCTCGCTATGTTGCCCAGGTTGTCTTGAATTCCTGGGCTCAAGCGATCTACCGGCCTTGGCCTCCCAAAGTGCTGGGATTACAGGCGTGGGCCACCATGCCTGGCCACTGAGGGTACATACTGTTTATGTAATTAAGGGAAGTGTTATCTTAGCTTTGACTTGAAATAATGTGTAGACAGAGGAGATGCTGACTCCTGTGGGTGGGGAATCAGCTCAGGAAAGGCCCTTGCCCAGGCCCAAGTCTGCAGTGAGGGGTGAGGGAATGTGAGCTCAGGGGACTTCCTGGCCAATCCCAGAATTCTCTCTGGCCCTCAGGCCGTGGATCCAGGACATCGAGGGAGCCAGCGCCAAGGACCTTTGCAGCGCGTCTTCGGTTGTGTCCCCGTCTTTTGTACCAACAGGTGAGGTGCCCCCTCAAAAGGTGGAGGAGAGAGGTGGGGACAAGTGTGCTTGGAAGGCTCCCCCAGGCACAGATGTTGTAAATGCCTTTCCTCACTTCCTTGCCCCCTACCCCTGTAAGCAGGTCCCCAGGAAGACTCAGTCCCAGGGGTCCCCGGAGTTGCCCATCGTGGCACCAGGGGCATAGCCCAGAGGGAGGCAGGGGAGCTTGGAGCTACTGTGGACGCTGGCACCCCCCTACCCCATGCCTTTTCTGCCTACAGGGGAGAAGCCATGTGAGCAAGTCCAGTTCCAGCCCAACACAGTGAACACTTTGGCCTGCCCGCTCCTCTCCAACCTGGCGACCCGACTCTGGCTACGCAACGGGGCCCCCGTCAATGCCTCGGCCTCCTGCCACGTGCTACCCACTGGGGACCTGCTGCTGGTGGGCACCCAACAGCTGGGGGAGTTCCAGTGCTGGTCACTAGAGGAGGGCTTCCAGCAGCTGGTAGCCAGCTACTGCCCAGAGGTGGTGGAGGACGGGGTGGCAGACCAAACAGATGAGGGTGGCAGTGTACCCGTCATTATCAGCACATCGCGTGTGAGTGCACCAGCTGGTGGCAAGGCCAGCTGGGGTGCAGACAGGTCCTACTGGAAGGAGTTCCTGGTGATGTGCACGCTCTTTGTGCTGGCCGTGCTGCTCCCAGTTTTATTCTTGCTCTACCGGCACCGGAACAGCATGAAAGTCTTCCTGAAGCAGGGGGAATGTGCCAGCGTGCACCCCAAGACCTGCCCTGTGGTGCTGCCCCCTGAGACCCGCCCACTCAACGGCCTAGGGCCCCCTAGCACCCCGCTCGATCACCGAGGGTACCAGTCCCTGTCAGACAGCCCCCCGGGGTCCCGAGTCTTCACTGAGTCAGAGAAGAGGCCACTCAGCATCCAAGACAGCTTCGTGGAGGTATCCCCAGTGTGCCCCCGGCCCCGGGTCCGCCTTGGCTCGGAGATCCGTGACTCTGTGGTGTGAGAGCTGACTTCCAGAGGACGCTGCCCTGGCTTCAGGGGCTGTGAATGCTCGGAGAGGGTCAACTGGACCTCCCCTCCGCTCTGCTCTTCGTGGAACACGACCGTGGTGCCCGGCCCTTGGGAGCCTTGGGGCCAGCTGGCCTGCTGCTCTCCAGTCAAGTAGCGAAGCTCCTACCACCCAGACACCCAAACAGCCGTGGCCCCAGAGGTCCTGGCCAAATATGGGGGCCTGCCTAGGTTGGTGGAACAGTGCTCCTTATGTAAACTGAGCCCTTTGTTTAAAAAACAATTCCAAATGTGAAACTAGAATGAGAGGGAAGAGATAGCATGGCATGCAGCACACACGGCTGCTCCAGTTCATGGCCTCCCAGGGGTGCTGGGGATGCATCCAAAGTGGTTGTCTGAGACAGAGTTGGAAACCCTCACCAACTGGCCTCTTCACCTTCCACATTATCCCGCTGCCACCGGCTGCCCTGTCTCACTGCAGATTCAGGACCAGCTTGGGCTGCGTGCG